>NT_187619.1:0-43156 GCF_000001405.40 Homo sapiens
TCCTGACCTCGTGATCCACCTACCTCGGCCTCCCAAAGTGTTGGGATTAAAGGCGTGAGCCACCGCACCCGGCCGGAAACAGTATCTCTTAAATAAATTAACAAAAAGCCGGCCGGACTCGGTGGCTCACACCTGCAATCCCAGTACTTTGGGAGGCTTAGGCGGGCAGATCACCTGAGGTCAGGAGTTCGAGATCAGCCTGGCCAACATGGTGAAACCCCATCTCTACTAAAAATACAAAAATTAGCTGGGCATGGTGGCACGCACCTGTAATCCCAGCTACTCGGGACGCTGAGGCACAAGAATTGCTTGAACCTGGGATGCAGAGTTTGCAATGAGCTGAGATCATGCCACTGCACTCCAGCCTGGGAAACAGTGAGACTCAGTCTCAAAAAAAAAAAAAAAAATAAAATAATAATAATAATAATAATAAAGCCAAAGAAGGTGGACTCAGCAGCTGAGTAAACCAGTGCCTGTCTTTGCCTGCCACCTCCACCCCCAGCTCCTCCACCTGCACTGGCAGTGCAGGAGCGCCGTCATTCACTGCTGGCTCCCCTTAGCCGCCTTTATGCCATTGACCCAGGCAGGCCTCCTCCCCTCCTAGAACCAGGGCCTGGAGATGCTGGAGCCTAGCACTAGTGTGTACCCTACAGGTGGGCTGGGCAGGAAGCCAAGCAATCACTGCCCTGAGCTCTTGGTTCTTGCAGGAAACACAGCAGTGGAGAGCAAGACACCAGCACGCTGCCCTCACCACCTCTCCTCACCACGGTGGAGGATGTGAACCAGGTATTCAGGCAGGCTCTGTGGGCACAGACTTGGGCTAGCTTCCACAGCTGCAGTTTTCAGAGGGCCTCAAAGTAATGAGGGATCTTCTTTGTGGTGATTAATTTTGTGTAAATGATTAGCCACCTCAGCTGACTCAGAGCCACAGGAAGCTCTACGGCTGTGCTGTCCAGTGTGATAGCCATTCACCACATGTGGCTATGTAAATTTAAATACAAATAAAAATTCAGGCCGGGTGTGGTGGCTGATGCCTGTAATCCCAGTGCTTTGGGAGGCCAAGGCAGAAGGATGGCTTGAGGCCAGGAGTTCTTGACCAGCCCAGGTAATATAGACACTGTCTCTGCAAAAAAATTAAAAGATCAGCTAGGCATGGTGGCACATGCCTGTAGTCCTAGCTGCCCAGGAGGCTGAGGCAGGAGGATGGCTTGAACCCAGGAATTTGAGATTACAGTAAGCTATGATTGCACCATTGCACTCCAGCCTGGGTGACAGAGCGAGACTGCCTCTAAAATACTTTTTAAAAACAATCAGCCGGGCGCAGTGGCGACGCCTGTAATCCCAGCACTTTGGGAGGCCAAGGCGGGTGGATCACGAACGAGGTCAGGAGATCGAGACTATCCTGGCTAACACGGTGAAATCCCATCTCTACTAAAAATACAAAAATTAGCCAGGCATGGTGGCATGCGCTTGTAATCCGAGCTACTCAGAAGGCTGAGACAGGAGAATCGCTTGAACCCCGGAGGCAGAGGTTGCAGTGAGCCGAGATCGTACCACTGCACTCCAGCCTGGGCGAGAGACAGACTGCATCTCAAAAAAAAAAAAAAAAAGTTCCTTTCCTCAGTTTGCACTAGTCACATGTGGCGAGTGGCTACCATACTAGACCGTATAGGCACAGAACATGGCTATCATTGCAAGAAGTTCTGTTGGACAGGGGTGTGGGAGTGAGTGGGGCTCTCACCCGGCTTCCTAGGAGGGAATAAGGGCCAGGCATCTGGGGAGGTGGGAAATGATGATACATTGCCCGAAATGCCACTAAGAACTCTCTTTTGTTTCTCAGGATAACAAAACCAAAACGTGGCCACCCAAAGCACCCTGGCAGCACCCTTCCCCGCTTCCCAGCACGCTGCCCAGCCCCAGCGCACCACTCTATGCAGTCACCAGCCCTGGCAGCCAGTGGAACGACACCATGCAGATGCTGCAGTCCCCAGTGTGGGCCGCAACCAACGACTGCAGTGCCGCTGCCTTCTCCTATGTGCAGACCCCACCCCAGCCCCCACCCCCACCAGCACACAAGGCAGCACCCAAGGGCTTCAAGGCCTTCCCTGGGAAGGGTGAGCGCAGGCCAGCCTATCTGCCCCAGTACTGACCCCAGGCCAGCCAGCCTGCCTGCCTGCCTGCCTGCCCGCCCAGAGCTGTGGGGATGAGTGTCCCCACCCCAGGGCCACTTAGCTGACACCAGCCCCTCAGAGGACCAGTGCGCCCCATCCCAGGGAGGGTTCCTTGGGGACAAGGGTGGTTGGCAGCTCCAAGCCTTTAAACCTGGCTTCTGAAACGATGGCATCAGAGCCCTGGAGAGCCAGCTGGAGACACAGGCGTCTGGCCTTCAGGGGCTTGCTAGGGAACCTGCATGCCTAGTAAGCGCCACAGGTGACTCTGATGCAGGCGCCACAGCCACACTTGAAGAAACACAGCTCTTGGGTTTTTAGTCCTGCTGTGTGTTGGGAAGACATCAGGCCTGAAAGCTGAGGGCATAACTGACCATTTTTTGGAAACCCTCTCCTCCCTCCTCCACACCTTGAGTGATGACCACACCAATCACTGTATTTTATAGCTTTTTTTTTCATGTAGGTTTTTAGTTAAAACATCTCCTGCCTAAAATGCATTGAATATTTTAAGATAACAGATATACTGGCTGGAGGTTTGTTTAACACTATCTATATTTAAGCTTATACAAAATGGGCAAAATATAGAATATTTGTGATTGGAAGCAGTCACCTGGGGTTTCTGGGGGTGGACAGTTCCTCGCCACCCAGCAGCACCCTGGGACTGCGGCCTTTCCCAGCTTTATTGAAGCAGAATGGTGGAACTTGTGCCGGAGGTACACTGCTGAAGGTGCGTGGCGGTGGACCAGCCAGCTGCTGTCCATGTGCAGAGCAAGGCTGCACCTGCTGCCCTTCGATCCTTCCACACATGGCCAGGACACTGCCACAATCCTCGGGGTGTGGTCAAGGGGCACTCAGAGACACCTGCACTAGAAATTGCATTGACATTGTGAGCTGGCTCAGAAGACAAACCAATTAAGATGTAGATAGAAATTAATTTAAGGTCTTTTCTTAAAAAAAAAATCCACCTCATTTTCAGTTAACATGTGCCATTAAATAGATAACATCCTGTGGATTTAGGGATATTTTCCAGCCAGAATGGATCCAGAAGAATTGAATGGTGCTTAAATTGAGAAATAATAATAAATATATCTATATAGAATAGACATATCCCACTGTATATTAATTGAGGTTACAGAAAGTTCTTTATATAAAACTTATTTAAATTTTTCATATTTCATCTTTGAAAAAGTCTGAGAAAAATCCATAATATTTTCTGGTATGAAAGTTTGACAGTATTAATATTTTTTTTATATTTTCTTAAATCATTAAACCATTTTAATATATGTTAACTACTAATAAATGGTTTATTCTTTCTAACTCCATATAAGCTTTTCCAGCAAAGATTGTAATAACACATTTATGTTCTCGTTTTTCTACAGATATAAGTAAATTTATATATAAAAATACCAAAAAGAGGCTGGGCGTGGTGGCTCACGCCTGTAATCCCAGCACTTTGGGAGGCCGAGGCAGGTGGATCACCTAAGGTCAGGAGTTCGAGACCAGCCTGGCCAATATGGTGAAACCCCATCTCTACTAAAAATACAAAAATTAGCCGGGTGTGGTGGCGTGCGCCTGTAGTCCCAGCTACTCGGGAGGCTGAAGCAGAAGAATCGCTTGAACCCGGGAGGCGGAGGTTACAGTGAGCTGAGATTGTGCCACTGCACTCCAGCCTGGGTGACAGAGTGAGATTCCGTCTCAACAAGAAAAAAAAAAAAGAATATATATATATGTATGTATGTATGTATGTAAACACACACACTAATTTGAGAGGACCCGTAGGGTGTCTGAGCCCAGCCACCTGAGTTTTTAGTACTGTGTTGTCAGGCTCTTCCCAGGCCTCAGGTGTTGTCTTTTGTGCTGTGTGGGGATGCATTGCTGCCTGTATTTATGATCTTTTGCCGTGGTTCTGAGCATTCACCTCACCATGTTTACAAAGAACTGTTTTGTATATAGACATTTTCAGGCACGTGCTTTGCACCAACCCTGCGTGGCTCTTGTCTGTGTTAGCTGTCACGGTGTGCACACTAATCTCTGTTAAAGTTGTCTATGGCTGTTCTACTTGTAAGATAGTTTTCTATTTCCTTCAGTAATGTGTCCACAGTACCCTGTATTTCGAGTTCCATTATACTGAAGTACTCATGTTTTAATAGTGCCTCTCCAAAGGCCTCACCTTGGACAGAGGTCAATCCTTGATGCTCCAGCACAGGTGACGTCACTAATTGTCACTTTCCAGTTTGTTTTTCTCTATTAAGGAAGACATTTTCTAATTGCATCTCCATGGGCTGTGAGACTGTGTGAAGCCGTTTGTGTGGTCTCCATGTAGGTGCTGTGTTCCCGGCACCGCCTTGCTCTGAACACTGGTAATTCCAGGTGCTGCGCTTGGCAGAGGGGTCTCGCCAAAGCGCATGTGTGTGCATGTGTGAACGTGTGTGTCCTTTGCATGGTTGGGCGTGGGTGCCTTGCTAGGGCATCAGCAGGACATTGTGTGTATAGTTACAATGCTTCCAAACTGGAACTCTACATTTTGTATCTTTTAAAGCTCCTATAAGTAAAATAACTATTGGCTTTATTAAAAATATACATTTAATAATACTTTGTATCCTTGTTTAAAATGAACTGCAGAGGACATTATGTCAAAAGCCCTGCCTGACTCATTGCTTTGAAAAGCTGCATACTGAGTTGGTTTTTAGGTCAGCCTGTCCTCTGATTCTAGCAAGGGGAAGACCACTTGGGATATTACGGTGAGCTGAAGTGGATGGGCAGGAGGGAGAACAAGCAGCTACGCCTCCCCTATTGGCTTCCCTAAGGCCCAAGCTGGTTTAGGCCCCTGTGCAGGGGGAGCCAGTGCAGTAGTGAAGGAGACGTCCTCTGCAAGGGTGCAAGCTCTCTGGGTTGGGGTCTACCAACACCCATGTTCCACCAAATGTGGATGCTGTGACTTGCCCAGCCAGCTTGTCCAATGACGAGACCCAAGAATGAGGGCTTGTTTTACCCTCTTCCCAAACCAGGGACCCAATCTATGGCAGAGATACTGTGCCTTACAGGGATAAGAAGGACCTGTCTCTGCCGGCCGCAGTGGCTCACACCTGTAATCCCAGAACTGTAGGTGGCTGAGGCAGGTGGACCACAAGGCCGGGAGATCGAGACCATCCTGGCCAACATGGTGAAACCCCATCTCTACTAAGAATACAAAAATTAGTCGGGCATGGTGGCGTGTGCCTGTAATCCCAGCTACTCAGGAGGCTTAGGCAGAAGAATCGCTTGAACCAGGAAGTCAGAGGTTGCAGTGAGCCGAGATCGCACCACTGCACTCCAGCCTGGCGACAGAACGATGGGGCTGTCTCCAAAAAAAAAAAAAAGCCAGGCACTGTGGCTCACGCCTATAATCCCACCACTTTGAGAGGCTGAGACAGTAGATCATGAGGTCAGGAGTTCAAGACCAGCCTGCCCAACATGGCGAAACCCCATCTCTACTAAAAATACAAAAAATTAGGTGGTATGGTCGCAGGTACCTGTAATCCCAGCTGCTTGGAAGGCTGAGGCAGGAGAACTGCTTGCACCCGGGAGGCAGAGGTTGCAGTGAGCCAAGACTGCTCCACTGCACTCCAGCCTGGGCAACAGAGTGAGACTCTGTCTCAAAAAAGAAAAAGAAAAAAAGAAAAAAACAAAAACAGGACCTGTCTCACTGGATGATGCCATCGTGTTAAGCAGAAGAAAGATAGTATCATGAGACCCACAAATGGAGGGCAGGTCACAGGAGCATTTCAGCTCATTTTCATTTACAGAAAGACAGCACCTCAGTGGAACCTTTTTTGACGACCTGAAGAAAATGGAGTAATGTGGGCATTAATATATAAGCTGCTGGTGTAGGAACCACTCTTCTTTCTGCCAAGGTGCCCTGAAGTTGAGCATGGGGACCAAGTCCCAGAGCCTTCCAAATGCACCTCAGGACAAAGTTGCTCGGTAACGGCCATGTTGCCTGAGAGTGCTCAAGAATACACTGGAAGTTCATATTAAAAAGCTAGCAGGGGCTGGGTGTGCTGGCTCACGCCTGTAATCCCAGCAATTTGGGAGGCTGACCTGGGAGGATTGCTTGAGGCCAGGAGTTCAAGACCAGCCTGGGCAACATAGTGAGACCCCATCTCTTTAAAAAAGCCCATATTTTATTCCAGAGTGTTCCCATTTAACACAAGCACCCAGTTCTCTTGACTAGTTCTGATTCACAGCAGTGCTGGAGGCCAGAGGGCAGAAGTCCCGCAGCTCTGGCTGTGTGCAAATGAGTGGGGAGGGAAGCTGAGCAGATGCTACACCTGAGCTACTACTGCAAGGGCTTCACAGGCCTTGGCCCATCTGAGAAATGGGGGAGGATGCGCAGGCATCTTGAGGTACTTGGGAGGCTTGTGACCTTCCTCTCCCACCTGGGGGCTCCTTGGATAGGGGGCTTCCAGTTTGGAGGCTGAGATGCTGCATGCCAACCATGCGGCTGTGAGGGGATGGCCTTTTGTGCACTGTGTGGCCACTGCTGTGACCTGCCTCCTGTTGTGGAGACAGGAAATAAACCTTCCCAATGATCAGCTTCTCTACTGCCCAAAAGCATGTATGTGGACAGCATGACTGGCTACCTCCCAGCGACAGGTACCCAGGAGTCTGAGGCACCTCCAAGGGTAGACTCTGGAAATAACACATGCACCTAGCCTTACAGCACAGGGGTGAGCTCCTGGGCCCAGGCCTGTGTGTGTCAGTGAGGGGACTGGATGTGGCTTGTACTGGAATATTGACTTGGAGATGTGGGCCTAGGTGAGGGAGAAGGATTGTTTCAGGCGTGTCACATTCATTTCAACATTCACGAATGTCATATAAGGGCTAGGCCCTTGCTAGGAGCCAGGACTGCAAAGATACAGTCCCTGCCTTTAAAACTCAGTATTTTAGGGGAGACAACCCATCTTTCCCATCCTTGATAAGAGAACCACCATCCACCAGCAACCCAGTTGCTCAGGCTGAAATCCCAGAAGATATTCTTCGTTCTTTTATTTCCTCATTCAACTAATCAGCAAGTCCTATAAGTGTATTCCCAAGCACACTCAAATTCCACCATGTTCTGGCCAGGCGCGGTGGCTCACGCCTGTAATCCCAGCACTTTGGGAAGCTGAGGCGGGCGGATCACCCGCGGTCAGGAGTTCGAGACTAGCCTGACCAACATGGTGAAAACCCATCTCTACTAAAAAATACAAAAATTAGCTGGGCATGGTGGCAGGTGCCTATAATCCCAGAGAATCGCTTGAACCTGGGAGGCGGAAGTTGCAGTGAGTTGAGATCTCACCATTGCACTCCACCCTGGGGGACAGAGCAAGACTCCGTCTCAAAAACAAAAAAATTCCACCATGTTCTTACATCTCCACTGCCATCTACCTGGACTTCACCTGGCTCCTGCCTCTCCCCCCACAGCCTCAGGGTTTCCCATGCACCCTCCCCTACTTCCAAGTAGCCTTGCCGTGTGTCCTCCAACTTGCCTGTTGCTCCCAAGGCTGCTTGGGCCTCTCCATCGGTTTTCTGGGGTCAGAGCCCATCTTCCAGCCTGTCTTCGTTTCTCATGATAGCACTCAGCACTCTTCTGGAATTTTGTGTTTGCATTTGTGTCTCACTGGAATGAAGGCCCCATGAGAGCAAGGAGCGAGTCTTGTTCATGGCCACATGTGCAAGGTGCAGGACAGCTCCTGTGACCACCACAGTGCAACTTGAGACAGATGAAAGGACGAGTTGCTGGGGCCAGAACTTACGAATTCTAATACTGAGCAAAAAGACAGAACTAGAGGCCGGGTGCGGTGGCTCACGCCTGTAATCCCAGCACTGTGGGAGGATCACTTGAGCCCAGGAGTTCAAGGCTGCAGTGAGTCGAGATCTTGACACTGCACTCCAGCCTGGGTAATATAGCGAGACTGTCTCTAAAAACGAAAAACAAAAACAACCAGACGAAAACATTCTCGCGTTGGGCTAAAAGAATACTATTAAATACATCATCTGGGCTGTTCCAGGACTGGGAGGGGATTAGCACTACGGTGGAGCTGCGGATAGGCCCAAGCAGGCCTCAAATAAATGTAAAGCTTTTTATTCTCGTGGAAACAGCTATGTACAATGGGGAAAATGTTTTTAAGCATCTAGCAAAGGATTCACGGGGCTCTGGTAATGAAGCCCCGAAACGACAAGACTGGATCGCGCAGGGTAGGGCCAACACCAGGGACAAACCCCCGGCCTCTTGGGGGCGCGGTGAGTAGGTGGCCTCTCCAAGCACCACTCCCGATGTGCGCATGAGCGCAGCCGCCCCTACGCAGCGCGTGCGCACGTGCACTCACCACGTCCATCCCAGACGTGCGGACCCGGGTGTCTGCAAGGTTCAGTCTCCACACCCCAGCGCCCGACCCTGCGCGGGGACATGCGCACAAGCGCGCGTCCTGACCACCCGGACGTGCTGGCCCACACGCACACGCGTGCGCATTACCCCCGCCCCATCCGCGCCTGCGCTCAACCCCGCCTACACCTGCTCCGTGGCCTCCCCGGAGGCGATGAGCCAACCCCGGTAGCTCCAGAGGCGTGGTCCCCTCGCCTTCGCCGGTCAACATGACTCAGCATCCTCGGTGGGCTCGCCTCCTCCCCCGGAACAGCTGTCTAAAATCCATGGGCGTGGAAACGCCACGCCACGCCCCGCTCCCGACTTCTTCAGCTCAGGCCCCAGAACTGACCACCCCACCAGTCCTCTGCCCCAGTCCCTCTGCCTTCACTCCCATGGCCACCTGTGCTCCAGGGCCTGCCTGACCCCTGTCCAGCGGCCCTGAAGTAAGGTCTGTGATGTCTAAATGCCGATACCTCAGTTTCCCCATCTTTAGAACGGGGCTCTTGTTTGGAACTGTGCCCGCCACAGCCTGCAGTAAGTGCTAGCTTCATCAATACTCAGTGGCAGTCAATTGCTTTTCCAGGGCTGCCTTATGCTTGAAATTAAATCTTTGCTATCCAGAGTTAGGACTGTCCCCGGACTTCCTAACTTGCCTCTGCTGTCAGGTGTACCCTCTGGTCCGCTCCTCTCTCAGGGCCACATCATCTTGCTGGGGGCACGTGAAGGTGTCCGGCTCTGCAGCATGTTCTCTTGGAATTTCTGGGCTAGGTTTCCTTTCGATTCTCCTTGGTCAGTCCCTGGCCTGGGAGCATGACCCCTCCCAGCTTCACTACCCCCCAGGATCCTGGGGATTCTGAGCCCTAAGCTCTGCGATCGGCAGGACTTGGCTCAGCATATGGTAGTGATTGTACTGATGGTGATAGACAACAGAATATAAAATGACCTTATGGCCAGGCACAGTGACGCATACCTGTAATCCCAACAGTTTGGGAGGCTGAGGCAGGAAGATCTCTTGAAGCCAGGAATTTGAGACCAGCCTGGGCAACACAGTGCAACTCAGTCTCTACAAATAATAATAATAAGAAAATTAGCCGGGACGGGGTGGTCATGCCTGTAGTTCTAGCTACTCAGGAGACCGAGGTGAGAGAATCGCTTGAGCCCAGAGTTCAAGGCTGCAGTGAGCTATGGTCATGCCACCGCACTCCAGCCTGGGTGACAGAGCGAGACACTGTTTCAACTAATAAGACATAACTGGGATGATGAGGAGTGGAGAAAGGGATTGCCTGCTCCTCCACTTTCCCTCCACCTTTTTCCTAGGACTGAAGAGGAACTGGCAGGAGCACAGGTCTCAGGAAGGAACCAGGCAGCCTGGGTTGATTCTCTAGTTAAGAGCAGAGTGGCTTGTTTCATATTTCTTTCTTTCTATTTTTTTGGAGACAGGGTGTCACTCTGTGACCCAGGCCGGAGTGCAGTGGCATGATCTTGGCTCGCTGCAACCTCTGCCACCCGGGTTCAAGTGATTCTCCTGCCTCAGCCTCCCCAGTAACTGGGATTACAGGTGTCCGCCACCACGCCTGGCTAATTTTTGTAATTTTAGTAGAGACAGGGTTTCACCATGGTGGCCAGACTGGTCTCAAACTCCTGGCTTCAAGTGATCCACCTGCCTCGGCCTCCCAAAGTGTTGGGATTACAGGTGTGAGTCACTGCACCCGGCCTTGTTTCACATTTCTTTCTTTCCTTTTTTTTTGAGACAGAGTCTCGCTCTGTCGCCCAGGCTGGAGTGCAGTGGCATGATTCAGCTCACTGTAAGCTCTGCCTCCTGGGTTCACTCCATTCTCTTGCCTCAGCCTCTCAAGTAGCTGGGATTACAGGTGCCCGCCACCACGTCCAGCTAATTTTTTTGTATTTTTAGTAGAGACGGGGGTTTCACCATGTTGCTCAGGCTGGTCTCGAACTCCTGAACTCGTGATCCACCCACCTCAGCCTCCAAAAGTACTGGGATTACAGGCGTGAGCCACCGTGCCCGGCCTCATTTCACATTTCTTAACCTCTCTGTTAAATGGGGAGGACAACAGGGTATCCTTCATAGGACTGCCATGAGGGATACATGGAAAGGATTTAGCATGGAGCTGTGCACGTAGTAAACCTGGCTGGAGTAGTGGCCGTGTTGGTAGTTTTGTAGTATGATGATGAATGGCTTTGGATTAGTACTTTCTAATCCAAAATGGCTTTGGATTAGACTTTTCTTCTTACTTTTCTGTGCTTTCTCCCTGTAGCCACTGTGATTTATGGCCCACCAGATAGGAACCTAGTTTCCTGCTAACATAGAAAATCCAGGCTGGGCGCGGTGTTGCATGCCTGTAATCCCAGCACTTTGGGAAGCCGAGGTGGGTGGATTACCTTAGGTCAGGAGTTCGAGACTACCCTGGCCAACATGGTGAAACCCCATCTCTACTAAAAATACAAAAATTAGGCCGGGTGCAGTGGCTCACGCCTGTAATCCCAGCACTTTGGGAGGCTGAGGCAGACGGATCACGAGGTCAGGAGATCGAGACCATCCTGGTCAACACAGTGAAACCCCAACTCTACTAAAAATACAAAAATTAGCTGGACGTAGTGTTGCATGCCTGTAATCTCAGCTACTCGGGAGGCTGAAGCAGGAGAATTGCTTGAACCAGGGAGTCGGAGGTTGCAGTGAGCCGAGATGGTGCCACTGCACTCTGGCCTGGTGATAGAGGGAGACTCCATCTCAAAAAAAAAAAAAAAAAAAAAATTAGCCTGGTGAGGTGGCGGGTGCCTGTAACCCCAGCTACTAGGGAGGCTGAGGCAAGAGAATTGCTTGAACCTGGGAGGTGGAGGTTGCAGGGAAGCAGAGGTTGCAGTGAGCCAACATCGTGCCATTGCACTCTAGCCTGGGCAACAAGAGTGAAACTTCATCTCAAAAAAAAAGAAGAAAAAAAGAAAATCCATGTAACTGGAGTTTCAAAGTAAATGTGAAATCTGGAATAGTTGAAGCTTCTGGGAATCACAGAGGCCAAGTTGCAGAGGTGTACATTATGGAAGATTAAAAGGCAGGGGAAACCTTTGAAATGGCAATCATCAGAGGCCTCACCTCCTGCCTCTTTCGCAATACCCAAAGCTGTTTCTAGGGTTCCTGGTGGTCGGGAGAGGACACTGGACAAGACTGTGGCAGTGGAAAGGTGAACACCCGTAACATCTTTGGAAAGACTTGGAGTTGTGAATGACAACTGAACTCCAAACAGACACTAAAGGGAATCGTTGGTTTACATTCTAGCTGCAGGTAGAGGTGGCCTGGCCCCAGGAACCTGGGCACTGTGAGATTCACTCTGACATCTCTGTGGGGATCATTCTCTTCGTTATTTTCCTCAAGACCAGGGGCTAGAGCTCAGGTCTGTCCTTTCTGACAGGCAGCTTAACACCATAAAAAGCAGAGACTTTCTGCTGCTGGCTGCAGGGCCCTGGAAAAGGACCCTGTTTAGCTGGCATAAGTTATGTGCTCATCTCTGATGGATTCAGGCAGGGGTAGAAACACGGGTGGGAGAGGATGGTTTTAGACAAAGAACAACAGCCGTCCATCTGGTCACCAAAATAACCTACTAGAAAAAGGCAGTCTCAGTTTGCAGGTGCAGTGCTGCATGCCTGTAATCCCAGCACTTTGGGAAGCCAAGGCAGGCAGATCACTTGCACCCAAGGATTCGAGACTAGCCTAAGCAACATGATGAAACCTCGTCTGTACAAAAAATAACAAAGCTTGTCTCTACAAGGAAAAAATTAGCTGGGCATGGTGGTGCACACCTGTAGTCCTGGCTACTCAGAAGGGTGAGTTGAAAAGATCGCTTGAGCCTGGGAGGCAGAGGCTGTAGTGAGACAAGATCGTGTCACTGCACTCCAACCTGGGTGTGACAGAGTGAGACCCTGTCTCAAAAAAAAAAAAAGAAGGAGGAGTCAGAGGGAGTCAGTGGTTACTATTGGGCTAGAGTCATCTGAGGAATCACAGGGTAAGTGATAATGGGGCAGTGGCTACTGAGACTCGCCTTCCCATTGGTTGAGGTTTTGTTCTGAAACAGAGGATTTGGGGTGGGAATTCTCTTCTGTGTAGATGAGTAACTGGCTTAGAAAACCCTGATTGGAGTGTTTCTCAGAACCCCCGTAGAGGCCAGGCGCAGTGGCTCATGCCTGTAATCCCAGCACTTTGGGAGGCTGAGGCAGGCGGATAATGAGGTCAAGAGATTGAGACCATCCTGGCCAACATGGTGAAACTCCATCTCTACTAAAAATACAAAAATTAGTTGGGTGTGGTGGCGTGCGCCTGTAGTCCCAGCTACTCAGGAGGCTGAGGCAGGAGAATCGCTTGAACCAGGGAGGTGGAGGTTGCAGTGAGCTGAGATCACGCCACTGCACTCCAGCCTGGTGACAGAGCGAGACTCCATCTCAAACAAACAAACAAACAAAAAAAGAACTCCAGTAGAACAGATACTGTTCAGCACTACCAGGGTTGTGCTAGGTGTGGAAGCTCAGTGAAATCTTAAGAGTTGACAGTTCTTAGAAAAGGGCCATGTGGACAGGGCTGTTCCCTGGAAAGTCCTGTGACCCCTCAGTGACCACTTATTTCTTTTGTTGTCAGCCTTTCCCTATTTTCTTTTCTTTTCTTTTCTTTTTTTTAAGACAAGGTGTTGCTGTGTCACCCAAGCTGGAGTACAGTGGTGGTAATCACGGCAGCCTCTAACTCCTGGACTCAAGTGATCCTCCTGCCTTGGCCTCCCGAGTAGCTGGGACTCTGCAGATATGCACCACCACATGCCCCGCTAATTTATTTTTAGTATTTTAGAAGCAGTGTTTTGCTGTCTTGCCCAGGCTCGGCTTGAACTCCTGGCGTCAAGCTATCCCACCTCCCAAAGTGCTGGGATTATAGGCAGGAGTGCCCAGCCCCAGAGTTCTTACAATGACTTACAAGGTCTTACGTGATCTTGTTGCCTCCCTTTTGCTCTCTGACCTCATCTTTTTTTTTTTTTTTGAGATGGAGTCTCACTCTGCCACCCAGGCTGGAGTACAGTGGCTCACTGCAGTCTTCACCTCCCAGGTTCAAGTGATTATCCTGCCTCAGCCTCCCGAGTTAGCTGGGAATACAGGCACGTGTCACCAGGCCCGGCTAATTTTTGCATTTTTTTTTTCAGTAGAGATGAGGTTTCACCAGGTTGGCCAGTCTGGTCTGGAACTCCTGGCCTCACATGATCCGCCTGCCTCGGCCTCCCAAAGTGATGAGATTACAGGCGTGAGCCACCGCGCCCGGCCTAGTCACTTTTTTCTTAATTGCAACCCCGATTCTCAGCACCCTTTTCATCTTGGTTTTCCTCAATAGCCCTTACCACCAGCAGACACACATCATCTGTTGTACTTGCTTATTTGGCACATATGTATCCACAGCGCCTAGAACACTGCCTGTAACGTGGAAGGTGTTCGATCTATAGAGTTTTGTCGAATGAATGAATGAAGCCGACTAGTGCACAGGGAGTGCAGCGGCGCGATGGTAGCTCTCTGCAGCCTCCAACACCTGGGCTCCAGTGATCCCCGGGCTCTGCCCACCCTCCCCACTGCCACTTCCGGGCAGAGGCCAGCAAAGCGGCGGCGCAAGAGGTAGGGAGAGAGGAGCTGAGGCCCCAGATCAGCGGCCGCGGGCAAGGTCGCTCAGCGGGCACCCGGCCTGGGTATCGGGGCGCGGGTCGGGGGCGGGGCCGGGGCTCAGGGGTGGGGCCGGGCCGGGCCGGGCCGGGCGCCTGCGCCATAAAGGCCGCCGCGCGCCCACGCGCCTCGCTTGCTGCGCGCTGCCGGCGCTCCTTCCTCCTCGGCTCGCGTCTCACTCAGTGTACCTTCTAGTCCCGCCATGGCCGCTCTCACCCGGGACCCCCAGTTCCAGAAGCTGCAGCAATGGTACCGCGAGCACCGCTCCGAGCTGAACCTGCGCCGCCTCTTCGATGCCAACAAGGACCGCTTCAACCACTTCAGGTGCGGGCGGGCCGGAGGCGGGGGCTGCCACGCGCGGCGCCCGGAACCGGGCACGCGGGCCTGGGGTCTGGAGGCGGGGGCAGCGGTGCCCGGGGACCCCAGTCCCCGACCTCCAGGCCACGGACTGGGGCCCAGGCCGAGTCCGCACTTCGTCCTTGGAGTCTCCTTGGAGTGCGTTCCTGGGGGCTTGCAGCCTCGCCGGGAGTCTCGGCCCCGGGTCTGCTTCGTTACGAGGAAAAACGGGCCCCTCCGTGGGGACATTTCCCCTCCTCCTCCCCGTGCAGCTCTGGCCATTTGAGCAGGGGCTCCTTTCGCAGTTGTGAAGAGAGGCCTTGGCTGACGCAGCAAGCGGGAAAGGGCTGTCCCTTTCCATCCGCTCCTGGCCACATGAGCTTGGGAGCGTCTGCAGGGCGGGCAGCCCGGGCGGGGGTGTTTGAGGGAGCTGGGTGGAAGGATGGAGACGTCGGGCGTGATTCCTGCAGAAGACACCTGTGCACGACCGGGAAGTGGGAAGGAGTGTTTGAGCAAATCATGGGCGGGAGTGCGGCCAAGGGAGCTCTGATCACTGATACTGGTGGAGGCGGGGGAGGGGAGCGACTGTGGCTCCGGGCTAGACGTCCCGATGGCCATCCCTGTCATCTGGATGGGTGCCTGAGTAACTTACGGCAGAAAGTGGAAGCCCTGGGAAGGGGTGGTCCCCCACTTCAGTCCGGGCTCCTCATCCAGGGTCTGCCTGCATCTACGGTCTGTGAGGATGGCTTCTTTCTCTGGGCTGCTGTTGCAGATCATCCTGGTGGGCCAGCAGGTGACAGACACCACCACTGTGCTGGGTGGCCGCGGCCCTTGTGGGGCGTGGGTCAGGGAGGATGTTTCTTCTGGGAACAGCTCCTGCTTAGGGCATGGCTCCCCGCTAGGGAGACCAGGGTGTGGTCAGCAGCATCTCCATCTTTCTGCAGCTTGACCCTCAACACCAACCATGGGCATATCCTGGTGGATTACTCCAAGAACCTGGTGACGGAGGACGTGATGCGGATGCTGGTGGACTTGGTAATGTTCTGCTTGGGGAGGCATAACTGGTAACCGACAGAGTGGTGGGTGAGCTGGGCTCCTGGGAGTCCCCAGGACCTTGAGTATCTTGAGTTCTTCCTCTCATTAGACCTCAGTCACCTCCTCTGTGCTGGTGAGGCACCTGTCCCTGGCTTAGGTTCTAAGCAGCATCCCAGGGACCCCAGTGTCTGATGTCTGAGTAGACCCTTCCCAGACAGCAGGGGAGGGAACCAGACAGCAGCCGTCTGTCTGTCTCATTGGGGACAGCACCAAGCCTTGTGTTTGGGGGCTGACACTTGGGGTGGCCAGTGTGGGTGGGACCAGGCCTCAGTATCGTCTCTTCCTAGGCCAAGTCCAGGGGCGTGGAGGCCGCCCGGGAGCGGATGTTCAATGGTGAGAAGATCAACTACACCGAGGTGAGCAGGCCCCACATACCCTCTGGGGCCTCCTTCCTTCCCTTTGGGGTTTATCTGACTGTTAGCCGCATCACCCTGTGTCTTCACCCCTTCTCTTGGGCAATGCTTTTGCTTAATGAGGGGCCTGAAGGCCTTTTTCCTCCTGCTTGTAGCAGGGCTTTGGGGTGTGCCTTCCACAAGATTGGTTTGGTGAGCTCCTTGGAATGGTTCCCAGTGTCTGCCTGGGAGGAGCATATCTCATACCCACAGGGAGAGTTTCTCAAGGCTGACATTTTCTTGGAGAAGTTAACTCTAATATATCCTCAATGCAAGTTTTAGTAGCGACAAGAAGAATCTTAGATCACCAAAGACTTCAGCCTACTCAAGCAGTAGGAGTCAATAGGAAGCAGTGGTGAGGCCAGGCCTGGGGGCCCCTGTTCCTGACTCAGTATGGGAGCCCAGCCTGGAGGTATAATGGACACTGAGCACCCAGACTCTGTCCTCATGATGTCATTATCCTCCTCTTACATGTGAGGAGTCTGAGGTTCAGAGGTCACATCACTTATCTAAGATGTCATAGCTGTAAGAGGCAGAATGGAGATTCACACTCAACCTGTCTTGCATTGTGGGTCTAAGCTGAGAGAGGATGCAATCAAGGAAGGCTTTCTGGAGGAGTGCATTTGCCAATAAAATGTGGCGCAGGAGTGGGGTCTGGCAGGGTGAGGGTGGGGTGGCATGAAGCCCTCCACCTTAGCAAGCCTCTCACTGGGTCGGAATCCCAAGATGATCCTTTTCCTGCCCACCTGGGGTCGTTAGACCTTCCCTCAAGGACTCCTCTGCTGACTTCAGGCCATTTCACTCA
Source organism: Homo sapiens (assembly GCF_000001405.40). Taxonomy (NCBI): domain Eukaryota; kingdom Metazoa; phylum Chordata; class Mammalia; order Primates; family Hominidae; genus Homo; species Homo sapiens. Next base: position 16,885 of record NT_187619.1, read on the forward strand.
CGTGGCTGGGCCAGCCGCCTGGCACCCGTCACAGACTTCAAGTCTGGTTTGGTTCCTGGCAGTTGGTAGTTATCGGGCTGCTTGGTGAGGGAAGCTTGAGTTGCATGCCTTGCTGCAAATCCAAGGAGCTGAGGACACTGCCTAAAACGTGCCAGCAAACACCATGGACACACATTGGGAGGATGAGGTTACTTCAGGCTTCATGAGCACTCATCTTCGGAAAGCGTTTATTTATTTATTTATTTTGAGATGGAGTCTTGCTCTGTCGCCCAGGCTGGAGTGCAGTGGTGCGATCTTGGCTCACTGCAACCTCTGTCTAATGGGTTCAGGCGATTCTCTGCCTCAGATTCCTGAGTAGCTGGAACTACAGGTGTGTGCCACCCCCACCTGGCTGATTTTTGTATTTTTAGTAGAGACAGGATGTCACCATGTTGGCCAGGCTGGTCTCGAATTCATGACCTCAAGTTATCCACCTGCCATGGCCTCCCAGAGTTCCGGGATTACAGGCGTGAGCCATGGCGCCCGGCCTCTGAAAGCATTTATTGCTTGTTTCTGACATGTATTGTTGCCATTCTCTGCCTTTGCTCACTGTTCCTCTTTTCTCTCACTGTTCATGCCCTGAGCATCTCTGGCAGGCCTTCGGGGCCTGTCCTAGGCATATATGGGTCCCCTCCTCTCCTCCTGACTGTCTGCAGCACATAAGTCCTTGGGGAGCTCCTACTCCTCTAAGCATACAGTGGGTTCTTGGAACAAGGTTATGGTGCTAACAGAGACCTCAGGGCCTGCCTGTCTAGTGGATAGAGGGCCGAGCTATGGCACCATGCCCAGCTGGGAGCATGGCTGCCTGGGGTTGGGGGGGACAGTCTTTATATCCTGACCGTAATCCCCAGGGTCGAGCCGTGCTGCACGTGGCTCTGCGGAACCGGTCAAACACACCCATCCTGGTAGACGGCAAGGATGTGATGCCAGAGGTCAACAAGGTTCTGGACAAGATGAAGTCTTTCTGCCAGGTAAGTGGCTACTGGGCCGGACTCACCCTTGGCCGTGTGTGTGAGTTATTTGGGAATCTGGGAGCCCTAAGGGGCAGCTCTTCCCTCTTCTTGTAGGCAGGACTCAGGTTCTCACTGCAGCTTAAGGGAGGGGTTGCCTGTGTGATCGCTGACCCTGGAGTCTCTGCTGAGGCCTGAATTTCTCCTGGCTCTGCTCTGAAGGAATCTGCTGCTGGCAGAAGTGGGGCCAGTTTCTTTCCTGAATTGTAGACACCTATGGACTCATGGTGACAAACCACAGAGGCTTCAAATGAAAAGTGGGGCCCCTGAGAGACAGGACAGTCAGGAAAGGAAGGAGCTTTTTCTTTTTTCTTTTTTTTTTTTTGAGATGGAGTCTCACTCTCTCGCCCAGAGTGGACTGCAGTCGTGCTATCTCAGCTCACTGCAACTTCCGCCTCCTGGATTCAAGCTATTCTCCTACCTCAGCCTCCCGAGTAGCTGGAATTACAATTATGCGCCACCCTGCTCAGCTAATTTTTGTATTTTTAGTAGAGACGGGATTTCACCATGTTGGCCAGGCTGGTCTCAAACCCCTGACCTCAGGTGATCTGCCTGCCTCACCTGGGATTACAGGCATGAGCCACTGCGCCTGGCCGGAAGGAGCTTTTTCTAATCTCTTTTGTCATACGCCCTTATCACCCAGTCTAGAAACAGATAAAACATTGTAAAATTTCCTCAACCCTGGCTGGGCGCGATGGCTCATGCCTGTGATTCCTGAACTTTGAGAGGCCGGGGTGGGTGGATCACTTGAGGTAAGGAGTTCGAGACCAGCCTGGCCATCATGGTGAAACCCCATCTCCACTAAAAATACAAAAATTAGCCAGTTTTGGTGACATACGCCTGCAATCCCAGCTACTTGGGAGACTGAGGCAGGAGAATCGCTTGAACCCGTGCGGCAGAGGTTGCAGTGAGCTGCGATTGCGCCACTGCACTCCAGCCTGGGCGACAGAGGGAGACTCTGTCAAAAAAAAAAAAAAAATTTCCTCATCCCCATTCCCAGCTAACCCTCCAGAAGCAGCCTTTGTAAAGTTTCCTGTAGCCAGGCGCAGCAGCTCATACCTCTATTCCCAGCTATTCAGGAGGCTGAGGTGGGAGGATGGCTTGAGCCTGGGAAGTTGAGGCTGCAGTGAGCCATGGTGACACCACTGCACTGCAGCCTGGGCGACAGCAAGATCGTGTCTCTAAATAAATTTAAAAAATAGAAAAGTTTTCCTGTGAAGTCTTCCAGAAAGTTCCTGTGCACATACACATCTGTCATCTCCTCTTTGAAACACGTACACATGTGCACATGCACACAGGTTGGTTTTCTCCCTGCTCCTCTGAAGCTTATTTCCACCTGGAAGTATGTAAGCAGTGTCCGTGTGTCAGTGACAGTGCATGTAACATGCCTTCTTTTCCTTGTGTGTAGGGTGGTAGGGGTTGCCTCAGAGACCAGCTAAGTTTCCCCACATCAAGCACTTGCCTCAGTGTCTACCCTAGCGGTGATTCTGCAGGGGTGGGTTGGCAGACATCCTCACGTCTGGAGAACGAGGGTGATGCCGGTGTGCCTGTGTGGGCTGTGCATGCTACGAGGGTGATCGTCCAAACTCTTGTCAGCTGTGATCATTTGCTGCTTGTCCTAGGAGCAGTGGCCTCCATGTGTGGCTGGTCAGAGTCCAGTTACTTTGGCCAAGAGCCACTTTCAGACCTGAAAATGGGCTGGGTGCAGTGGCTCACGCCTGTAATCCCAGCACTCTGGGAGGCTGAGGCAGGTGGATCATGTGAGGTCGGGAGTTTGAGATCAGCCTGATCAACATGGTGAAACGCCGTCTGTACTAAAAATACAAAAAAATTACCTGGGCGGGCATGGTGGCGAGCACCTGTAATATCAGCTACTGGGGAGGCTGAGGCAGGAGAATCTCTTGAACCCGGGAGGCAGAGGTTGCAGTGAGCCAAGATCACGCTACTGCACTCCAGCCTGGGTGACAGAGTGAGGCTCTGTCTCAAAAAAAAAAAACCAACAAAAAAACCAACCCATCTCTGGAAAAAATAAATAAATCAGCTAGGTGTGGTGGTGTATCCCAGCTACTTGGGAGGCTGGGGTGGGAGGATTGCTTGAGCCCGGGAGGTTGAGTCTGTACTGAGCTGAGATTGTGCCACTGTCCTCCAGCTCAGGTGACAGAGTGAGACGCCTCCAGGGCAAGGAAGTTGTGGGGTCCTGATGGGAATCTGGATTTCCTGAATGTCACTTAGGGTGATCAGTCCATGTGATGGTCTTTGGGTGTGTGGCGGGGCCTTTCCAGCCATCTGCTGTGAGTGGCAGAGCTGAAGTGCATTAAAAGCCTAGTGCTGTGTGATCAGTCTGGGTGTGCTCAGCCATGCCACATGGCGAGGATGGCACTGCACCGTCTGGGGTGCTGTTTCCAGGAAAGCCTTCCCTTAAAGCTGGCCACTGGAGTACCTGACTCAGGCTGATAAGGTATTTATAGTTCAAAAAAAGTTGCTGAATGGCAGTAATCCCCTGGTGAGGAACATTCCCCATGGCTGTGCTCTCCAAAGTTTGCCAAGATTGGGTGAAGACGTTCACTGTGACCTTGATTGTAGTGGCAAAACCTGAAACCAAGCTGTACTCATTTGTCAGGGGACTTACAAAGTAGAGTCAGCACATATTCATATACTGTCATCCTGGGCACCAATAGGGATTAGGGAGCTATAGTTGGATTGATCTGCCATGCTGTTCAGGATGGACTGGGAAGTTGAAAAAGGAAGTTGCAGAATTGGTGGGTATGGTAAAGACTCATTTGGTCAAATGAAGGCTGGGTGTAATTGTAATAAAGATAGACACATTTGGCTTGGTGCAGTGGCTCACACCTGTAATCCCAGCACCTTGGGAGGCCGAGGTGGGTGGATCACGAGGTCAGGAGTTCAAGACAAGCCTGGCCAACATAATGAAACCCCATCTCTGCTAAAAAAAAATACAAAAAAGTTAGCCTGGCATGGTGGTGCATGCCTGTAGTCCCAGCTACTCGGGAGGCTGAGGCAGGAGAATCACTTGAACCCCAGAGGTGGAGGTTGCAGTGAGCCAAGATCACGCCACTGCACTCCAGCTTGGGCAACAGAGTGAGACTTTGTCTCAAAAAGAAAAAAAAAAAGACACATTTTTCCTCTGGGATGCTTCATTATAACAAACCTTTGACAGTCGGGAAAGGAGACTTGCTTTTTTTTTTTTGAGACAGAGTCTTACTCTGTTGCCCAGGCTGGAGTGCAATGGCGAGTTCTCGGCTCACTGCAACCTCCGCCTCCCAGGTTCAAGCAATTCTCCTGCCTCAGCCTCCTGAGTAGCTGGGATTACAGGCATCCGCCACCACACCCAGCTAATTTTTGTATTTTTAGTAGAGATGAGGTTTCACCATGTTGGTCAGGCTGGTCTCGAACTCCTGACCTCAGGTGATCCACCCACCTTGGCCTCCCAGAGTCCTGGGATTACAGGCATGAGCCACCACACCCAGCCAAGACTTGCTTTTTCTAACCTCTTTTGTCACACGCCTGTGAGGGAGGGTTGAGAAGTTGAACAACTTATTTTATTTCTTTCTGTATTGATGGAAATTTTCCCATGGCAGTTTATTTAAAGAAAAAGTAGGGCCAGGCACAGTTGCTCACATCTGTAATCCCAGCACTTTGGGAGGCAGAGGCAAGAGGATTGCTTGAGGCCAGGAGTATAATACCAGCCTGGGCAACATAACAAGACCCTGCCTTTAACAAAAATTTAAAAATTAGCCAGCTGTGGTGGTGTGTACCTATAGTCCTGGCTGCTTAGGAGGCTGAGGCGGGAGAATTGCTTGAGCCCAGGAATTTGAAGCTGCAGTGAGCTATGATCATACTCCTACATTCCAGGTCGAGCAACAGAGCGAGACCCTGTCGTTAAAACAAAACTAAAAAATACCCAGCAAGGTGCAGTGGCTCTTGTATAATCCCAGCATTTTGGAAGGGTGAATCGGATCACTGCAGGCCAGGAGTTCAAGACTAGCTTGGGCAACCTAGACCCTGTCTCTTTTTTGTTTGTTTGTTTTTTGAGACAGAGTCTCTCTCTTTCACCCAGGCTGGAGTGCAATGGCCTGATCTCGGTTCACTGCAACCTCCGCCTCCCAGGTTCAAGCGATTCTCCTGCCTCAGCCTCCCGAGTAGCTGGGATTACAGGTACCTGCCACCACACCCAGCTAATTTTTGTGTTTTTAGTAGAGATGGAGTTTCACCATGTTGGCTAGGCTGGTCTCGAACTCCTGACTTCATAATCTGACCACCTCAGCCTCCCAAAGTGCTGGGATTATAGGCGTGAGCCACCGTGCCCAGCCTATTTTTTTTTTTTAATTAAAAAATAATTTATAGTCTGGGTGCTGTGGCTCACACCTGTAGTCCTAGCACTTTGGGAGGCCGAGGTGGGCGGATCACTTCAGGTCAGGAGTTTGAGACCAGCCTGGCCTACATGGCAAAACCCGTCTCTACTAAAAATACAAACAAAATTAGCCAGGAGTAGTGGCAGGCGCCCATAATTCCAGCTACTCAGGAGACTGAGGCAGCAGTATCATTTGAACCCATGAGGTGGAGGTTACTGAGAGCTGAGATGGCGCCACTGCACTCCAGCCTGGGTGACAGAGCGAGACTCTGTCTCAAAAAAAAAAAAAAAATTTATAACTGGGCATGGTGGTGCATGCCGGTAGTCCCAGTTACTTGGGAGGCTGAGGCAGGAGAATCGCTTGAACCCGGGAGGTGGAGGTTTCAGTAAGCTGAGATAGCACCACTGCATGCCAGCCTGGGTGACAGAGCAAGATTCCATCTCCAAAAAAAAAAAAAAAAAAATTAAAAGAAAATTGCTGGATCTTATTAGTGTATAGTAATTTTTTATTGATGTGTGGGAAATTATTCCAAAATTTAGCAACTAGAAGCAACAATCACCGTCTCTTTATGTGGGGAATTTGCAGTGGCTGTGTTTGGTGTAGTGGCTCTGATATTCTAAGGTTGCAGTCAAGATGTTGGCTAAGGATGTGGTCATTTGAAGGCTTCATGGGGGTTGGAGGGTCTGCTTTGAAGATGGCTCACTAGCAGTGCTGCCTTTGGGAGGCACAGACAGTTCGAGTGTCCTCATGACAAGGCAGCTTATTTCTCCCAGAGTGAGTGATCCAATAGAGAGTAAGGCAGATGCCTGGAGGTCTTTTGTGACCTAATATCAGGATTCACATTCTTTCTTTTTTTTATTTTTATTTTTTTGAGACAGAGTTTCACTCTTGTCACCCAGGCCAGAGTACAATGGCGTGATCTTGGCTCACTGCAACCTCCGGTCCCCGGCTCAAGCGATTCTCCTGCCTTAGCCTCCTGAGTAGCTGGGATTACAGGTGCCCGCCACCATGCCCGCCTTTTTTTTTTTTTTTTTTTTTTTTAAATTTTTTTAGTAGAGATGGGGTTTCACCATTTTGGCCAGGCTGGTCTTGAACTCCTGATCTCAAGTGATCCGCCTGCCTTGCCCTCCCAAAATGCTGGGATTACAGGGTGAACCACCACGCCCGGCTACACTCTTTGATTTCTATAATACCCCGTTGGTGTTACAGATCAGCTCTGGTCATCATGGGAAGGGACTGCATCAGTGGGTTAATGCCAGGAGACAAGGACCACTGGTCACCATCTTAGAAGGTGGGGGACTATCATAGTCCCGCTTCTGGCGCCTAGTGATTGATTTTGTTCCTTCCACACACAGATACCCCACTCACTTTCTCCTAAGTCCATATTCTGTTACAGTATTAGAAGTCTGTTAGAAGTCTAGAACCTCATTTTGTCAAGTACAGGTGTAGTAGTACCTGCATTTCCTTTAGTACAGTTCCTTTCAATCTGAAGACATGAGAATTTAAAGAGACAAATTACCCCTCACACACCCAACATACAATGGTGAGGTGGGCATGGGATGACTGGTATGTATGGGATAATTATTTCTTTTCTTTTCTTTCTTTTTTCTTTTTTTCTTTGTTTTTTTTTTTTTTGAGGTAGGGTCTCACACTGTCGCCCAGGCTGGAGTGCAGTGGTGCAGTCACTGCTCACTGCAGCCTCGAACTCCTGGGCTCAAGCAATTCCCCACCTCAACCTTCTAAGTTGCTGGGACTACAGGCACATGTCACCATGCCTGGCTACTTTTTTATTTTTTGTAGAGATGACGTCTTGCTATGTTGCCCAGGCTAGTTTTAAACTCTTGGCCTCAAGTGATCCTCCTGCCTCAGTTTCCCAGTAAGTGCTGGGATTATAGGCATGAGCCACTGAGTCCGGCCTGCATATTTAGGTTTTTATTATGACCACACTGTACTTCTGATACCAAAATCTGTATTAGTTATCTATCATTGTATAACAAATGACATCAAAACTTGGGTTAAAACAGCAATACACTTTTTTTTTTTTTTTTTAAGACGGAGTCTTGCTCTGTCGCCCAGGCTAGAGTGCAATGGCGTGATCTCCACTCACTGCAACCTCTGCCTCCTGGATTTAAGCAATTCTCCTGCCTCAGCCTCCCGAGTAGCTGAGATTACAGGCACACGCCACCATGCCTGGATAATTTTTGTATTTTTTTTTTTTAGCAGAGACGGGGTTTCACCATGTTGACTAGGCTGGTCTCGAACTCCTGACCTTGTGATCTGCCTGCCTTGGTCTCCCAAAGTGCCAGGATTACAGGTGTGAGCCACCATGCCCGGCCTAGCAGTAAACTTTTATTACCTCTCACAGTGTCTGTGGGTCAGAAGTTTGGGAGCGGCTTAGCTGGTTGGTCTTGGTTTGGGGATCTCTCATAAGGCTGTAGTCAACATGTTGGCCAGCGCCCCAGTTATCGGAAGTTTTGATGGGTTTGGAGGACCCCCCTCTAAAGTGTCCCATACACAGGAAGCGAGTTGGCTGTGACTTTTGGAAAAAGGCCTTAGTTCGCTGCCGCGTGGGCTTCTTTATGAAACTGTTTGAATGTCTTCACAACATGATAGACAGCTTCCCCAAAGCGAGTCATCCAAGAGAGCAAAGCAGAAACTGCACGTTCTCTGAACTCACTTCTGAAGTCACATTTCACCCCTTTTTGCAGTCTCTGGATGGGTGCATAGGTCACCCCTCCCAGCACAGGCGGAAGCTATGCAGAGGCATGAATTCCAGGAAGCAAGGATCACTGGTGTCTGATTGGAGACTGGCTGCGGGTCTGATACTCCTTTCCCCAGCATAGCCCAGTCACAGTTTTCAACATTTCACATCTCTTGGTCTCTGGCATAGCAGATTCTGCCGAGTTATCCCTGGTTTTGCAAATTCTGACAGTGTCGCTGTAAGGTAGGGATGTCTCACTGTTGTAACCAGGAAAGAGTCTAGTTGGTGGTGAGTGTGGCAGGGACCAGTGTGGTCTCCAGAGACTCCTATGCCTTGTGTAGTGGCTCACGCCTGTAATCCCAACACTTTGGGAGGTCAAGATGGGAGGATTATTTGAGGCCAGGAGTTAGAGACCAGGCTGGGCAACGTAGCAAGACGCTGTCTCTACAAAAAATAAAATAGGCTTTGCGTGGTGGCTCATGCCTGTAATCCAAGCGCTTTGGGAGGCCGAGGCAGGTGGATCACCTGAGGTCAGGAGTTTGAGACCAGCGTGGCCAACACGGCGAAACCCCATCTCTACTGGAAATACTAAAAATTAGCTGGGCAGGGTGGCAGGTGCCTGTAATCCCAGCTACTTGGGAGGCTGAGGCAGGAGAATTGCTTGAACCCTGGAGCCTGGAGGCGGAGGCTGCAGTGAGCTGAGATCGTGCCGTTGTACTCCAGCCTGGGCGACGGAGTGAGACCCTGTCTCAAAAAAAAAAAAAAAAAGACTAAAGCAGAGCATTTTGTTCTGTTTTTGGAGTCAGGGTCTTCCTCTGTCACCTAGGCTGGAGGTGCAGTGTTGCGATCTTGGCTTGCTGCAGCCTCAACTTCCTGGACTCAAGCAATCCTCCTGTCTCAGCCTTGAGCCACCCTGCCTGGCCCCTAAGGCACAGTTTTAAAAATAAGTAAATAGCGAGGCGCGGTGGCTCACACCTGTAATTCCAGCACTTTGGGAGGCCGAGCTGGGCAGATCACTTGAGGCCAGTAATTCGAGACCAGCCTGGCCAACATGGCAAAACCTCGTCCCTACTAAAAATACAAAAAAATTAGCTAGGCATGCTGGTGGCGCAGGCTTGTAGTCCCAGCTACTCAGGAGACTGAGGCATGAGAATTGTTAGAACCCAGAAAGTGGAGACTCTGTCTCAAAAAAAAAATTAAAAATAAATAGCTGGGTGCGGTGGCTCAAGCCAGTAATCCCAGCACTTTGGGAGGCTGAGGCGGGCAGATCACAGGGTCAGGAGATCGAGACCATCCTGGCTAACACGGTGAAACCCTGTCTCTACTAAAAATACAAAAAACTAGCTGGGTGTGGTGGCGGGCGCCTGTAGTCCCAGCTACTCAGGAGGCTGAGGCAGGAGAATGACGTGAACCTGGGAGGCAGAGATTGCAGGGAGCCGAGATCATGCCACTGCACTCCAGCCTGGGCAACAGAGCAAGGCTTCATCTCAAAAAAAAAAAAAAAAAAAAAAAAAAAAATATATATATATATATATATATATATATATATATATATATATATATGGTAAATTAAAAACAAAAAAATAGAGGCACCTGCGAGGGCCTGAAAGCTGGGACTGAGGTACCAGGACACGGCAGTAATGATGTTTTTGAGCAGCGGATTATGCCTGGGGGTTTGGGCTGATGGCATCTTCGCCCCTGTGCCAGCGTGTCCGGAGCGGTGACTGGAAGGGGTACACAGGCAAGACCATCACGGACGTCATCAACATTGGCATTGGCGGCTCCGACCTGGTGAGGAGAAAACTGCCTTGGGGTAGGGTGGGAGTCTGGGCACTGTTGGTCCCACTCAGGTCTTTACTTTCTCCAGGGATGGGACCTGGCTGTCTCCACTTTTCGTGGGCCCTGAATTCTTATTCTCTGATGCTATGTCTCCCCGCAGGGGCCCCTCATGGTGACTGAAGCCCTTAAGCCATACTCTTCAGGAGGTCCCCGCGTCTGGTATGTCTCCAACATTGATGGAACTCACATTGCCAAAACCCTGGCCCAGCTGAACCCCGAGTCCTCCCTGTTCATCATTGCCTCCAAGGTATGAGTGCCGAAAACTGCCCGGCCCCTGGCCCTGTGTGTGTTGGGGTGGGGAGGGACAGCTGTCTTGCCATCCCCCTGGCCATTGGTCCCTTTTGGTGGGTTCCGAGTGAACCATGGTTTGTGGATCAGGTCAGTACAGCTGCCCTAGACTGTTTCCATGCCTAGCAGCAAATAAGGTTGACTGATGAAATCCTGAACACATCAGTTTGAACCTTTGTGTCCTGACCACACCCGCTCGCCTTGCGGCATCTCTGCTCAGCCTGGGACTGCTCGCCACTTTCTTACAAACCTGTCCTTTATGCCTGCTCCTTTTCTTGTTGTTGTTTTTGAGACAGAGTCTGGCTCTGTCACCCAGGCTGGAGTGTAGTGGCGTGATCTCGGCTCACTGCAATCTCCGTCTCCCAGGTTTCAAGCGATTCTCCTGCCTCAGCCTCCCAAGTAGCTGGGACTAGGCACACACCACCACGCCTGGCTAATTTTATTATTTATTTATTTATTATTATTATTTTTTAGTAGAGATGGGCTTTTGCCATGTTGGCCATGCTGGTCTTGAACTCCTGACCTCAGGTGATGCACCCCCCCTTGGCCTCCCAAAGTGCTGGGATTACAGTCTTGAGCCGCCATGCCCAGCCATGCTTGCTCCTTTCTGATCCCAGAGCCATGCCCTGATAATAGAGGGGTTTTGTTTGTTTTTATTTATGTTCTATTTACTCACATGAATGTACATAAAATATGAAGAATTCCATCTGAATTCTGAGATACCTTCCAGCCTGGGCCGAAGAGAGCCTCAGGTTGACTGCAGCCCCTCAGGGGAGAAGCTGCGGCCTTTGACCTGCAGGCTTAGGGTTGGGGGGTGTGTTTACCGTCCCCCCTCCTCTGGTTTTAAAGAGCTGGAATCTCAGGAGGTTATGTGGCGTCACTGTCACTGACCTGCAAATACTGCTCCATGGGACAGCTGGGCATTGCCTTGGCCTCTACTGCTGAACCCTGGCTCAAGGCCTGCACCCACCCCTAAGCTCGGGCGCCCACTGCTGTTCTCTTTGGTTGCAGACCTTTACTACCCAGGAGACCATCACGAATGCAGAGACGGCGAAGGAGTGGTTTCTCCAGGCGGCCAAGGATGTGAGTGGGCTATAGGGCCTTCCTCGTGGTTAGCCTCTGGGCTGGGAAGAGCAGGGTGGGCCCCTGAGTGACCAAGTCTGGCCGTGTTTCTCCTGAAGTTGGAAGTGAAGGCGGCCTTGCCGGTGCCTGCCTTTGCTAGATGAGATGATTGTTCATCTTGGCTTTGTCAGACCCAGCCTTGCAGATGTGACAGAACCTGCTCTCGCTGGCTGACAGCCCTTGCATGGCCCTTTCTCTGCAGGCCCTTGGCGCTGCAGGAACTCTTGGCCACACCTATTTTATAGGGGAGGGACGTCCCTGAGCCCCGTATGCTTGTAAGATGGGATGAGCAGGCGGCCTGTGACCTGTCTGCTTTCTTGACCTTGACCTCGATGTGGGCCTTCTCCAACAGTCTCAGAATCAAGGACTGGGAATCTCAGTCCCATGCAGGGCCTTGGTTCCTCTAGTGATGGGAAGTGACTACCCTTTGTCTCCCTGGGCTGGCTGTGGTAACTTGGCTCTGTCTCTTGTAGCCTTCTGCAGTGGCGAAGCACTTTGTTGCCCTGTCTACTAACACAGTAAGTGCCCCCGTGGTCCCCTGTACTGCCTTCCTGGGAGTGCCCAGCATGTCCAGGTCATGGCCTCTCAGAGACGCGGTTCGTAGGTCTGGTGGATCTTGGCTTGGCTGATGGTATGGAAGGTTTGGTTGCCTGTGGGCTGCAAGCCTTCCTTGCCTTTTCCGCATTTACCCATTCAACCTCTGCAGCTTTGAGGAGGGAGGCTTGGAGTCAGTGGGATCACGATAACCCCTTCTTCCGTCTCCCAGGCCTGACTGATACACAGAACCCTTCATACACATGACCTTCCTAGGCCTTTGTGCCCAGCATCTCCCCAAATGTGACATGCTAGGTAGGGGTAGAGGATGCATTCCATTTTTCACTTAAGGACATAAAGCCCCAATGAAGGGAGGTGACATTTTGCCCCCTACTTAGTGTGTGTGGTTTTTTTTTTTTTTTTTTTTTTTTTTTTTTTTTAAGACAGTCTCACTCTGTTGCCCAGGCTGGAGTGCAGTGGCGTGATCTTGGCTCACTGCAACCTCTGCCTTCCAGGTTCAAGCGATTCTCCTGCCTTAGCCTCCCGAGTAGCTGGGATTACAGGTGCACGCCACCATGCCCAGCTATTTTCGTATTTTTAGTAGAGACGGGGTTTCACCACGTTGGCCAGGCTGGTCTCTGACTCCTGACCTTAAGTGATCTGCCCACCTCAGCCTCCCAAAGTGCTGGGATTACAGGTGTGTGCCACCATGTCCAGCTTATTTTTTGAGACAAGGTCACTCTGTCACTCAGGCTAGAGTGCAGTGGTGCGATCTTGGCTCACTGCAACCTCTGCCTTCTGGGTTCAAGTAATTTTTATGCCTCAGCCTGCTGATTCTGGGATTACAGGCGCCCACTACCACGTCCAGGTAATTTTTGTATTTTTGGTAGAGACAGGTTTTCTCCATGGTGGCCAGGCTGGTCTCGAATTCTTGACCTCAAGTGATCTGCCCACCTCGGCCTACCAAAGTGTTGGGATTATAGGCATGAGCCACTGTACCCGGCCCACTTAGTGACTGTATGAGTAGGTGATGCCAGGATTAGAACCTGGGTCTCCTGTCTCCAAGTTCTCACAGTCTGCCTGGCCTCGAGGTTGTGCAGGCTCAGCAGGGCATGACAGAGTGAGGGATGCTCCAGGAGTGACAGCAGCAGTCAGCCAGTGGGCACTGTGCTGTGTCAGAGCTGGGGACTACACCCACATCTCCCTCCCACCCCCTCCACCATCATCCCCACATCTCTGCCTCCAGTGCCTACCCAGCTGCAGCAGGACGCCATAAGGCTGGCTAACCATAGCACTGTTGCCTGCCTGCAACTGACTGGTCAGTAGGGCTTCTCCTCCTATGTGGAATAGGTAAGGAGTTGCTGGCCCTGTCTGCCCTGGGGACCAGAATACCTGATGGCTCCTCAGAGCTTCCTGGTGCAGTCACCCTCCCACACATGGGAAGGGCTGGGTGGCTGTTCAGCCTGTGTTTGTTTGCCTGGCCTGGTAGGTGGCCCCTGCCCACACTTGGGTCCCAGTCCTAGGTTCGGTTCCCAGATGTCCAGGGGTATCATGCTCTGGTGTCCCAGGCAGGCCTGGGTGAGAGCTGTTGCAGAGCAGTGTGTGGGCCAGGTCCTCACACGGGGTTACAGCTGCCCTCAGCAGGGGGCTTTGCAGGCACAACGTCACTGGCGTGCTGGTCATGGACTGATCTGGTGTCCAGCTTGGGGTGGGCAGATCCTGGGCCCTGCCCTCGACTCACAGGCTGCTCCAGCCCTGCCCCATCCCTGGCTCTGGGGAAGGTGAGGCTCAGCTCACGGAGCACAGCTCCCTGCCTCCCGGAGCTCCTGTTCCCATCCCGCTAGCAAATGCTTCTTTGCATTTCTCTCCCTTTGTTTTTTTTTTTGTAGACCAAAGTGAAGGAGTTTGGAATTGACCCTCAAAACATGTTCGAGTTCTGGGATGTAAGTACAAGCACTTCTGCACTGGGTGAATTAAGTGTCCTTTGCCAAGTCATGGCTGTTGAGAGGCCCATGAGGTCAGGTCAGTGTTTATTGAGTACCTGCTGCATACCTAGCTTGGGGAAAGGTAGAGAGGCCCTCAGAGAGGCTTGGAGGGCAAGAGCAACCCAGGCAGGATGAGGGCTCCACTTCCACCTGAGGGCGGGCTGAGCTTGCAGGGCCACATGACACTCCCTTGGGTGCCTGCCTGCAACACCCACTGTGGGGTAACCCGAGTCCCCCTTGCCACGCTCACAGAGTTGAGGTTGTGAGTTATTCTCAGTGATGACCTTTCTCTGAACTGCAGCCACCATCTGTAAAGGCCAAGGGCAGGGTGAGGCATGAGGTATGACCGGGTAGGCCTGGAAAGGAGCAACAGGAGCTGCAGGAGGAGCTGGGGGGGTGGCGTAGAGGAGGCGCCAGGCTGGGGCAGCTTGCAGAGCAAACCCTGCCTTGAGTGACAGGGCTGCCGACCCCTCTGTAGCAACAGGTGGTCCATGGGACCACCTCTGCTGGAGCCGAGCAGTGAGCCACAGCTTTCCTTGTGCACTTGCCTGAGCTCAGCAGTGGTGTGAGGAGGGCTCTGACTGTGAAGCCCAGGGTGCAGGGGTGCAGTGCAGGGTGTGATGCAGGCACTGTGAATGCTGTGGGCATGGCCGGGCTTACGTGCAGGGCTCTAACGCTGTGGCAGGCGCAGCAGAGAGGGCATTGCCCATTTGGTGGTTTTCCCACCTGGGGCTGTCTCCAGGCATTTGGACCAGAGGCCCTTTGCTTGGTGATGGCATCCACAGACATAACCTCATTCCTTTGAAAGCTCTAAAGGCCTTTTACTACCAGGGTCTGGGAGAGAATGAAGCCCTAATCCCTTAAGCCATCCACTGTGTATAATGAGTTAACTTCTTTCTAGAATGAGACTAGTTACATACCATCCTTGGAAGAATTGACGAGAATCACTCAAGTCATTTTCTGCATCCTGTGGCTCAGATGCGGAACACTGGTCAAGAGAGACTGTGCGGCTTCTAATAAATGTTGCATGCCTGATAATGGAGGGCAGGCACCTTCCACCTCCTCCTTGGGATCTGGAGCCTGAGCAGGTGGTGGGCAGGGATGTGTGGGTGCTGCTGCCAGCCAAGGAGCCAAGCAGATCGGGGTGTCCTTGCTTGTCACCACCCAGCATGTAGAGATGAGTTAGGGTGTGGCTTAAGGAGAGGATGGGTCTGGCCTCCCAGGTAAGGCCTAGGAATGATAGCTGGACACAGGAACATGGGGCCAGGGCTGGCTGGTGAGACCTAAGTGGAGGCCTCCTGGGCCAGGCTAGACAGCCCACAACGGCTGGAGGAGGGACCTGCCTGAGTTACTAGAGTGTATCCTGCTGAATCAAGAAGGTGATATCTGAAGAACCCAGGGATAGGAGCAGGCGAAGTTCCTGCAGGTGGGGTCTCGGGTGAGCTACAGCCATCAGCTCAGGCCTAGGGATGCAGTGCCGGCCCTCAGGTGAGATCAGAAGAGTCCCGTCTGGTAGGGGTATGTAGAAGAGGTAATTCTTGGTCCGCCAGGGCCAGTTTTGCGGCAGCCATGGGTGTCGGGATCAGGCAGGGGTGTGGTGGGAAACCATGGGGTCTCTCAGGGCTCGGCCAGGGTCAGCGCACGCCACAGGGCCAGTTTTGGCTGGAGAGGCCTGAAGCAGAGCCAGAGCAGGTCCAGGTGAGTTCTGAAGAGGAGCCAGGACAGGAGAGGGACCCATAGGTCTGTGAATTCCAGAGGAGAGGCAGGTATTTAGAGGTGGTTCTGTCAGGTGAAGTCTGAGGAGCCAAAGCTATGTATGTGCATATGTCAGCCGGGCTCTGTGGGAGGTGGTGTAGACCTATGGCATGGGACAGGTGTGCACGCTGGGATCTCTGGCCGGTTCCGAAAAGTGAGGATCAGGTAGTGGGTGGCTGATTGCACAAGTTTAGAACCCAGGATTAGGGACACACAGGTCAGCACCTGCTTCTCAGCATCCTGACTGGGTGTGATGGGCAGAGCTCAGGGCGTCAGAGGCCTCTGAGAATTTGTGACTGAAGTCCAAGTCTGTGGCATCAGGGTCTGCAGAGCCCAGATGCGGGAGAGGTAGGAATGTACCTGGTGATATGAGGCAAGGACAGGGGAGCTGGGGCAGGTGAGGCAGGCAGGTGGCATGAGGAGCTGTGCTGGGTGGGTGCGGTCTGAGTGGCTCAGGTTGGGTAAAGGGCCAGAGACCTGGGTCTACAGGGCAGACATCAAGGCTGAGCCAGTCAGACAGTGTTTGTCAACACTGGGCTCTCACCAGGCTCCCTCAGGCCGAGGTGAGCAGCCAGGGATCTGTCATGTGTGAGGAAAGTGTCTGTTCAGGTTAGGTGTGTATAATGCAGCCTTTCAGAGCCGCGTCTGTCTGAGGTCCTAGGAGCTGGAATCAGACAGGTTTGTATGGCTGGGTTTCTAGGGGAGGCCTGAGGAGCCAAGACTGTACTCAGGTAGGCAGAACTGGACCAGTCTGGTAAGGACGTTGGAGCTAAAGATAGGCAGACAGGTCGAGCTGGGTCTGACAAGTGAGGGCTGAAAATCTGTGATTGGGTCCAGGTTGGAGCTGTGTCCTTGGGCGATGTCTGAGCAGCTCTGGTGGGTGAGCCTGGGTCCCCTGGGAAGAGACCAGACAAAGGGATGGGGTCAGACAAAGGGATGACGAACCGCATCCATCAGAAAGGTGGATGAAGCCTGGGTCTGGTCGAGGTACGTAGAGCAGATCTAGCAGGCGAGGTTTCAGGGGTTAAGGTGAGACACAGGTATGTATTTTTGGGTCTCACAGGTTAAGGTCTGAGCCACTGAGGTCAGGCTCTGGTTTGTATCCCAAGACCGAGAAGCTGTGTTAAGCATGGTGGGTAGAGTTTGTCAGGTGACATCTATGAAACCAGGAGCATGCAAAGATAGGTTGACCGGAACAGCCATGGTCAAACCAATTAAACTGTCCTGCAGTTGAGGTCAGGCACAGGTAGAACGGATCTATCAGGTGAGGCCCAAGGAGTCCGGATTAGGCTCATCTAGAAAGACCTGGATGTGGTAGATGACCTCTGAGGATATGAAGTGAAGGCAGGTGGATAGAGCCAGGTCTCTCAGGAGGTCTGAGGAGCTGGGATCTGGCACAGTGAGCAGGTCTGGATTTCCCAGGTGGTGTCAAGACAGATGGGTAGGCCAGGCACAGTGGCTCACACCTATAATCCCAGCACTTTGGAAGGCCAAGGCAGGCAGATCAGTTGAAGTCAAGAGCTCGAGACCAGCCTGGCCAGCATAGCGAAACCCCGTCTCTACTAAAACTACAAAAATTAGCCAGGCATGGTGGTGCATGCCTACAGTCCTAGCTACTTGGGAGGCTGAGGCACCAGAATTGCTTGAACTGGGGAGGCAGAGTGAGCCAAGATCGTGCTACTGCACTCCAGCCTGGGTGACAGTGAGACTATCTCCAAAAAAAAAAAAAAAAAAAAGCGGGGGTTGGGTGTGGTGGCTCATGCCTGTAATCCCAGCACTTTGGGAGGCCAAGGTGGGTGGATCATCTGAGGTCAGGAGTTCAAGACCAGCCTGGCCAACATGGTGACGGGGTGAAACCCCATTTCTACTAAAAAATACAAAAATTAGCTGGGTGTGGTGGCACACGCCTGTAATCCCAGCTACTCAGGAGGCTGAGGCAGGAGAATTGCTTGAACCCGGGAGGTGGGGTTTGCAGTGAGCCGAGATCATGCCACTGCACTTCAACTTGGGCAACAAGAGTGAAACTTTGTCTCAAACAAAAAACAAAAAAAAAAAAAAAAGAAAAAAGATGGGTGGGTAGAAGTTCTTCTCCTGGGTGAGGTTGAGGAGCTGTGGCCAGGTACAGGTATGTAGGTATGTGGAATTGAGTTTCTTGGGTGAGGTCTTTGGAGCCTGGCCCAGGTACATCTTCGGGTCTATCAGGTCTGAAGAACGGGAGTTAAACACAGGTGTGTAGAACAGGGTTTGGCAGGTAAGGTCTTTGGAGCCAGGATCAGGGCAGCTTCACAAAGCTGAGTGTGTTCATGAGACCTAAAAAGTCATAGTCAAGCCCAGGTAAGAAGAACCAAGTGTGTTGGATGAGGTGTAAGCAGCTGAGGTGTGAAGTAGAGGTAGGCAGAGCTGGCCCACAAGGTACAAGCTCAGGAACCCTCATCACATGCAGGTAGGGGGTGCTGGTCCACCAGGCACAAGCCCAGGAGCCAGCATTGAGCACAGGTAGGCAGACTTGGCCCACCAAGTATGATCTGAAGAGCCAACATCAGGCTCAGGTAGGTAGATCTGGCATGCCAGGTGTACTCCAAAGAGCCAGAGTCAAACACAGGTAGGTAGAGATAGTCTTTCAGGTGTGGTTTAAGGAGCCAAGGTCAACTACAGGTAGGTAGAGCTGGCCCACTGGGTGTGGTTTGAGGAGCCAGGGTAAGCACAGGTAGGCAAAGCTGGCCCACCAGGTATGGTCTGAGGAGCCAGGGTCAGACTCAGGTAGGTAGAGCTGCCTGCCAGGTATGGTCTGAAGAGCCAGGATCAAGTACAGGTAGGTAGTCTGGGTCACTAGGTGTGGTCTGAGAACCCAGCGAAAAGCTCAGGTAGGTAGAGATAGCCTTTCAGGTGTGGTCTGAGAACCCAGGGTCAAGCACAGGTATGTAGAGATAGCCTTTCAGGTGTGGTCTGAGAACCCAGGTTCAAGCACAGGTAGGTAGAGATAGCCTTTCACGTGTGGTCTGAGAACCCAGGTTCAAGCACAGGTAGGTAGAGATAGCCTTTCAGGTGTGGTCTGAGAACCCAGGGTCAAGCACAGGTAGGCAGAGCTGGCCCACCATGTGTGGTCTGAGGAGCCAGGGTCAGGCAGGTAGACAAAACTGGTCTGCCAGGAGTAGTCTCTTGAAGGAGAGCTGAGGAGTTAGGTTGAATGCAGGTAGATAGAGTTGGCTCTTTCAGGAGTTGGATTCAGGCACAGGAATGTGCCCCTGGGTGTTTGAGGTGAAGCCTGAAGAACCAGAGTTGAGCCTAGGTGTATAGAGCGGCCTCCCAGGTCAACCCCATAGCATGGGGGTCTCTACAGGCAGGCAGAACATTGTGGGTTTCCTAGGAGGTCTGTGGCCCCTAAGTTAGACGTGGGTAGGTAGATGTATCTCTCTCAAGCAAGGACTTTGTAGCTAGAGAGACATACAGCTGGGGTCTTGCAGGTGAGGTCATTGGTGCGTGGTTCTGGCTTAGTTGTGCTGACTCAGTCTTAGGCCTGGGGACAGTGGGTTAGTCACAAGTTGGTAGAACTACGCATCTCAGCTGGGGAGCACAGGTAGGCAGAGATGTTCCATTTGATGAGGTCTGAGGCTCCTCAGTGAGCTCATTGGTGCTGACGTTAAGCAGAGATTGGCAGCATTGGATCTGTCTGTGAGACATGAAAAGCCAAGCCAGACACAGGATGTGGACTGCCGAGGCCAGGCTCACATAAATAAAGCTGGACCCTGGGAGGCTGTAAGGAATCTGAGTTGGGCTTAGGCAAGGGAACCGGGTCTGTCAGTCAAGGTGTGAGGGGTCAGGTTATGTGAAGCCTGGTCTATCAGCTGAGATGTCTGGAACCCATCTTTGACAGGTATATAACTCTGTAGCCTGAGGCACTGGAGTTGGACACAAATAGGCAGAACTAGGTCTCCCAGGTGAAACCATTGCATCGATGCTCAGTGCTGGTATGTTTATCTGGTGTTGTCAGTGAGTCTGCCGATGCAGGCTCAGTGCTGGTATGTTTACCTGATTATGTCAGTGAGTCTGTGGATCCAGGCTCAGTGCTGGTATATTTACTTGGTTGTGTCAGTGAGTCTACGGATCCAGGCTCAATGGTGGTATGTTTACCTGGTGTTGTCGTGAGTCTGTGGATCCAGGCTCAGTGCTGGCATGTTGACCTGGTGTTGTCAGTGAGTCTGTGGATCCAGGGTCAGTGCTGGTATGTTTAGCTGACATTGGCAGTGAGTCCATGGATCCAGGCTCAGTGCTGGTATGTTGACCTGGTGTTGTCAGTGAGTCTGTGGATCCAGGCTCAGTGCTGGTATGTTGACCTAGCACTGGCACTGAGTCTGTGGATTCAGGCTCAGTGCTGGTATGTTGACCTGACATTAGCAGTGAGTCTGTGGATCCAGGCTCAGTTCCACAGAGGTTGTATAAACATGGTCTCAGGTGGGTTCTTGACACCTGGGTTCAAGCACAAAAGTACTGCTGGGCTTGTTAGGTGAAGTGGGTGGGGTCTAGCACAGGAATGCATAATGGTGAGGCTGGCCAGGCCTGGGGAAGGTGGGTCAGACACAGGTGAGACCTTCGGTGGTAGGGTCAGACACAATTAGGTGAGTAGTGTGGGCTCTTATATCAAGGGAAAGCCGTAGTCATTGTAGGTGTTTGTACCTGGGTCTGCCTGGTGATGTCTAGGGAACCCTAAAGATCAGCTGGGACAGGTATCTGTTCTCAGCACCCTGGTCAGGTATGATAGACAGAGCTCAGGGTAATACAGAGGGCTGAGGATCTGTAACCAGTCCATGGTGTTGGTCTGCATCCAAGATGGCATTGTGCTCCAGTTGACACAGGGTCTGAGTTAAAAGTGAGGAAAGTTGCCAGGCGCAGTGGCTCACGCCTGTCATCCCAGCACTTTGGGAGGCCGAGGTGGGTGGATCACTTGAGGTCAGGAGTTTGAGACCAGTCTGGTCAACACGGTGAAACCCCATCTCCTAAAAATACAAAAATTAGCCATGCATGGTGGCACATGTCTGTAATCCCAGTTACTCAGGAGGCTGAGGCAGGAGAATTGCTTGAACCTGGCAGGCAGAGGTTGCAGTGAGCTGAGATCATGCCACTACACTCAGGCCTGGGCGACAGAGTGAGAGACCCTGTCTCAAAAAAAAAAGAAAGTGAGTAAAGTGAGGAAAAAGGTAGATGATGGTTAGATAAGGTGAGATCTGGGGCACTGGGGCAGGTTAGGCCCAGGACATTGAACTGACTGAGGAGCTGCATCTATAATGTATGGTCTCAGAGGCCACTGCACTTAAAGGTGAGGTCTAGAGACCCATGTCTGCAGATTGAGGGTTCGGAGGCTCAGGTCAGACACTGCTTGGCATTGCTGGGCTGTCACAAAACTGGGATCTGAGGACCTGTTCTCGGCCAAGGTGAGCAGCCTGGACTCTGTCAGCCAGAGGGCTGGCTGTGTGCTGAAGTTTAGTTTCTAGAGCTGAGTCTGGGCTGGGTGTGGTGGCTCATGGCTGTAATCCCTGAGCTTCGGGAGGCTGAGATGGGAGGCTGAGGCCAGGTGTTCAAAACCTGCCTGGACAACAGAGCAAGACCCCATCTCTACAAAAAATTTAAAAAATAGTCAAGCATGGTGGTGTGTGCCTGTAGTCCCAGCTACTGGGGAGGCTGAGATGGGAGGATCACTTGAGCCCAGGAGTTTGAGGCTGCGGTGAGCTGTGATCATGCCACTGCACTCCACCTGGGCAACAGAGCAAGACCCTGTCTCTTAAAAAAAAAAGAAAAAAATAGAACTGCATCTGTTAGATGAGATGTGAGAGCCTATGTCAAGCATGATGTAGTCTGTAGGACTGCGTCTGTCAGGTAAGGTTCCCGGAAACCCAGAGCCTTTCCAAGTGAGTGGCCCCACCGGTCATCTCATTGCCCAAGCCAGAAACCTCTCGGCCACACTGGAGAGCTCCCAGAATGAGTCCTCTGCACTCCCCAGTCCATCTCCGGGGCTTCAAAGTGGCTTGTTTGCTTCTGTCCTTGTCTTAGCCGCAGACTGTTCTCAGTCCTCCCACCGTGCCTCTCAGCTTCCACCCTGCGGTCCCCACCCCTTCCTTTATCCTCTGGAAGGTGCTATGCTTCCCCCTGCCTCAGTGGGCTTCCAGGAGAGAATTAAGCCCTCACAGCCCAAGGCATCTACTGGATGTAATAAGTGGGCACCTCTCCTTCGTGTCTAGAAGGTTACTAGTCTTGGACCATCCTTGGGAGAACTGAGAAGTCACTCAGATCATTTTCTGTGGGCCTTAATTCTGTCACGCTTGAGAAAGACTGCTTTGGCCACGGGACCTTTGCATGTGCTGTTATGGCTGCTGGAATGCTCCCTCAGTGCTTCTCTGGGTCATGCCTGCTCGTTCTTGAGATCAAGGGTCAAGTACCCCTCAGGTTCCTTTTATAAGTGGCCTCAGCACCATGTTCCAATTTCTCCTCAGCACTTGTTTCTCAGTTTCACATTTATTGGCATGATTATTTGATGTACGTCTCTCTCCCACACTCTGTGTCCGTTGCCTGTGCTAGAAATGTGGGAGGTGCTCCATAAACAGCTGTTAGGAAGACATCCGTGAAGTTCTGAGGACTCTGATGGCACCAAGTGGAGCTTGCAGGTGTGGCTTGAGAAGGTGCAGTGTGAATGATAGGCCTAGGTGATAGGCCGAGAAGATCGGTCAAGCCCAGATATGACCCACTGGGCCTGTCAGTGTCCAGGAGGTGGGGTGAGGCACAGGTCTAAGGTTCTGGATCTGTCAGTACCACCTGAGGAGTTGGGAATGGGCACAGGTACAAAGTGATGAGTCTTCATTGTTCAACAAAGAATGGCACAGGTGTGAGGATCTGGGTTTGTCAGTATCTGAGGATGTGGGGCCTGGCACAAGTATGAGGCACTGGGCCACTGTTCAAGCAGGTGGGCTGGGGAACAGAAATGTAGCTGTGGGTTTTTAATATCTGAGGAGACCTAGCCAAGTGTAGCAGAGAGCTGCTGGGTCTTTCATTGTCCAAGGAAGCATACCTGGGCACAAGTATGAGACTGAGAAGGTGGGTCCTGGCACCGGTAAGGGGCTCTGGGTCTGCAAGTGTCTATGGAAGTAGGGCCTGGTACAGGTATGTGGTGCTGGAAGAGGTATCCAAGGAGGTGGGCTAAGTACAGGTATGACATCTGGGTCTTCCAGTGTGTGAGGAGGTAGGATCTGGTACAAGTATGAGGCCCTGGGTCTGCTGGTGTCTGAGGAGATAACAGCAGGTTACAGGTATGAGGCCCTGGGTCTGCTGGTGTCTGAGGAGGTAACATCTAGTACAGGTATGAAATCTGGGTCTTCCTGTGTCTGAGAAGGTAGCACCTGGCACAGGTATGAGGATCTGGGTCTTCCCAATGTTTGAGGAGGTAGCATCTGGCACAGGTATGAGGATATGGGTCTTCCATATCTGAGGAGGTAGCACCTGGCACAGGTATGAGAATCTGGGTCTTCCAGTGTCTGAGGAGGTAGCACCTGGCACAGGTATGAGTATCTGGGTCTTCCCGTGTCTGAGGAGGTAGCACCTGGCACAGGTATGAGGATCTGGGTCTTCCTGTGTCTGAGGAGGTAGCACCTGGCACAGGTATGAGGATCTGGGTCTTCCCGTGTCTGAGTAGGTAGCACCTGGCACAGGTATGAGGATATGGGTCTTCCATGTCTGAGGAGGTAGCACCTGGCACAGATATGAGGATCTGCGTCTTCCAGTGTTTGAGGAGGTGAGTTTGGACTCAGGTTTGAGGCCCTTGGGCTTCCAGTGCCTGAGGAGATAGCATCTGGCACAGGTATGAAGCCCTGAGTCTTCTAGTGTCTGGGGAAGTGAGGCTGGGTACAAGTATGAGGATCTGTGTCCATCAGTATCTGAGGAGGTGGGATCGGGTCCTGGTATGAGGATCTGGGTCTGTCCATGTCTAAGGAGGTAGGATCTGGCACAAGTATAAGGATCTGGATCTGTCAATGCCTGAGGAGGTAGGATCTGGTGCAGGTATAAGGATCTGGGTCGGTCAATATCTGAGGAGGTGTGATCTGGCCCTGGTATGATGATCTGTGTCTTCCAGTGTCCTAGGAGGTGGGATCTGGCCCTGGTGTGAGGATCTGGGTCTGTCAATATCTGAAGAGGTAGGAATCCGGTACAGGTATGGGATCTGCATCTGTCAATGTCTGAGGAGGTAGGACCTGGCCCTGGTATGAGGATCTGGGTCTGTCAATGTCTGAGGAGTTAGGAATCGTACAAGTATGAGGATCTGGGTCTTTCCATATCTGAGGAGGTAGGATCTGGGTCTGTCCATGTCTGAGGAGGTAGGATCTGGCATGAATATGACGATCTGGGTCTGTCAATATCTGAAGAGGTAGGAATCTGGTACAGGTATGAAGATCTGCATCTGTCAATGTCTGAGGAGGTAGGACCTGGCCCTGGTATGAGGATCTGGGTCTGTCAATGTCTGAGGAGGTTGGAATTGTACAAGTATGAGGATCTGGGTCTCTCCATGCCTGAGGAGGTAAGGTCTGGGTCTGTCCATGTCTGAGGAGGTAGGATCGAGGTCTCCCCATGTCTGAGGAGGTAGGATCTGGGTCTGTCCGTGTCTGAGGAGGTAGGCTCTTGCATGAATATGAGGACCTGGGTCTGTCCATGTCTGCAGAGGTAGGATCTGGTGCAGGTATAAGGATCTGGGTCTTTCCATGTCTGAGGAAATAGGATCTGGTACAGGTATGAGGATCTGGGTCTGTCAATATGCGAGGAGGTAGGATCTAGCCCTGGTTTGAGGATCTGGGTCTGTCCATGTCTGAGAAGGTAGGATCTAGCCCTGGTATGAGGCTTATGAGGATTTAGGTCTGTCAGTATCTGAGGAGTTAGGATCTGGGTGCAGGTACAGGTATGAGGATCTGGGTCTGTCAGTGTCTGAGGAGGTAGGATCTGGCCCCCATATGAGGCTCTGGGTTGCCCATGTCTGAGAAGGTAGGATCTGGCCCTGATAGGAGGATTATGAGGATCTGGATCTGTCAGTATCTGAGGAGGTAGGATCTGGTGCCGGTATGAGGATCGAGTCTGTCAGTGTCTGAGGAGGTAGGATCTGGTGCTGGTATGAGGATCTGAGTCTGTCAGTGTCTGAGGAGGTAGGATCTGGTACAGGTGTGAGGATCTGGGTCTCTCTATGTCTGAGGAGGTAGGATCTGGCGCAGGTATAAGGATCTGGGTCTTTCAATGTCTGAGAAGGTAGGATCTGGCCTGGTATGAGGATCTGAGGCTTTCAATATCTGAGGTGGTAGGGATCTGGTACAGGTATGAGTATCTGGGTCTCTCCATGTCTGAGAAGGTAGGAATCTGTTACAGGCATGAAGATCTGGGTCTGTCAATGTGTGAAGAGATAAGATCTGGCCCTGGTATGAGGATCTGTGTCTCCCCATGTCTGAGGAGGTAGGATCTGGATCTGCCTCTGTCTGAGGAGGTAGGATCTGGCATGAGTATGAGCATCTGGGTCTGTCCATGTTTGCAGAGGTAGGATCTGGTGCAGGTATGAGGATCTGGGTCTCTCCATGTCTGAGGAAGTAGGATCTGGTACAGGTATGAGGATCTGGGTCTGTCAGTATCTGAGGAGGTATGAATCTGGTACAGGTATGAGGATCTGGGTCTGTCTATGTCCAAGGAGGTAGGATCTGGTACAAGTGTGAAGATCTGGGTCTGTCTGTATCTGAGGAGGTAGGAATCTGGTACAGGTATGAAGATCTGGGTCTGCCAGTGTCTGAGGAGGTAGGATCTGGCCCTGGTATGAGGATCTGGGTCTGACCATGTCTGAGAAGGTAGGATCTGGCCCTGGTATGAGGCTTATGAGGATTTGGGTCTGTCAGTATCTGAGGAGGTAAGATCTGGGTGCGGGTACAGGTCTGAGGATCTGTTTTGTCAGTGTCTGAGGAGGTAGGATCTGGCCCCCTTATGAGGCTCTGGGTTGTTCATGTCTCAGACAGTAGGATCTGGCCCTGATAGGAGGATTATGAGGATCTGGGACTGTCAGTATCTGAGGAGGTAGGATCTGGGTGCCGGTATAAGGATCTGGATCTGTCAGTGTCTGAGGAGGTAGGATCTGGCGCTGGTATGAGGATGTGAGTCTGTCAATTCTGAGGAGGTAGGATTTGGTACAAGTGTGAAGATCTGGGTCTCTCTCTGTCTGAGCAGGTAGGATCTGGTAAAAGTGTGAGGATCCAGGCCTGTCCATGTCTGAGGAGGTAGGATCTGGCATGACTATGAGGATCTGGGTCTGTCCATATCTGAGGAGGGAGGATCTGGGTCTTTCAATATCTGAGAAGGTAGGATCTGGCCCTGGTATGAGGATCTGAGTCTTTCAATATCTGAGGAGGTAGGATCTGGCATGACTATGAGGATCTGGGTCTGTCCATATCTGAGGAGGGAGGATCTGGATCTTTCAATATCTGAGAAGGTAGGATCTGGCCCTGGTATGAGGATCTGAGTCTTTCAATATCTGAGGAGGTAGGAATCTAATACAGGTATGAGTTTCTGGGTCTCTCCATGTCTGAGAAGGTAGGATCTGGCATGAATATGAGGATTTGGGTC
>NW_003571054.1:614793-700652 GCF_000001405.40 Homo sapiens
AGCACCATGCAGGGAGATACCACTGTCACTATCTCAGCCCTGCAGGCTGGTCAGAGCGCAGCGAGCCCCTGGAGCTGGTGGTGACAGGTAAGAGGACACTCAGGGGTCCCAGCCCCAGGCTCTGCCTGCAGGAAGGGGGTCGGCTCTCAAGGGCATCTCCGTTCTAATAACTCAGCCCTGGGGGATGATGTGGGACGCGTGAGCCCCATTTAAGACAGTGTCTCCTTCTCTCCTAGGAGCCCACAGAAAACCCACTCTCTCAGCCCTGCCGAGCCCTGTGGTGACCTCAGGAGAGAACGTGACCATCCAGTGTAGCTCAAGGGTGGGATTTCACAGGTTCATTTTGATTGAGGAAGGAGAAAACAAGCTCTCCTGGATGCTGGACTCACAGGAACTCTCCAAGGGGCTGTCCCTTGTCCCTGGCCCTGTTCCCTGTGGGCCGTGTGGCTGCCAGTCACCGGTGGATGTTCAGATGCTATGGGCATTACACGAACTTCCCCTGGGTGTGGTCGGAACCCAGTGATACCATGGAGATCCTGGTCTTAGGTATGGATGTCTTCCTCCTTGCCCTATTTATTTTTGAGAACTTACTCTCACGGAGCCCCATGTAGGAGGGTGGAACAAGGGAAGTTTGGGACTCCTGAGCCCAGAGACACTGAGTATGAGAGACAGTGAGACCTGCAGGGCCAGGAGGGGAGAAGGAAGGGGTGTGGGAGGAACCAGCCCTCCTAGTCCCGACTCTTCTTTCCCTCCAGGCGTGTCTAGGAAGCCCTCCCTCCTGACCCTGCAGGGCCCTGTCGTGGCCCCTGGGGAGAATCTGACCCTCCAGTGTGGCTCTGATGTCGGCTATGACAAATTCACTCTGTACAAGGAGGGGGGACATGACCTCGTCCAGGGCTCTGGCCGGCAGCCCCAGGCTGGGCTCTCCCAGGCCAACTTCACCCTGGGCCCTGTGAGGGTCTCCCACGGGGGCCAGTACAGATGCTACGGTGCACACAACCTCTCCTCCGAGTGGTCGGCCCCCAGTGACCCCCTGAGCATCCTGATCGCAGGTGAGGAGCCCAGCAGGTTCAGTCAGGGACCCACGCTCCGCACAGGCCCTGCTGGGGGAGCCCAGGTGGTGATGGCCAGGATGAGGGGTGGGGGTCCCAAGGGAGGGAGAGACAGACAGAGACAGGGGATGGGTGGGTAGAGGGAGACTCAGAGAAAACAGAGACAGAGACTGAGGGTCCCAGAGAGAGGCCTGGGGAGGTGTCAGCTCAGAACGAGGTGGGGCAGCCCCTCACCCATCCTTCTTCTCTCCAGGACAGATCCGTGGCAGACCCTCCCTCTCGGTGCAGCCGGGCCCCACGGTGGCCTCAGGAGAGAACGTGACCCTGCTGTGTCAGTCACGGGAGCAGTTGGACACTTTCCTTCTGACCAAGGAGGGGGCAGCCCATCACCCACTGCGTCTGAGATCAGAGCACCAAGCTCAGCAGCACCAGGCTGAATTCCCCATGAGTCCTGTGACCTCAGCCCACGCGGGGACCTACAGGTGCTACAGCTCACGCAGATTCTTCCCCTACCTGCTGTCTCACCCCAGTGACCCCCTGGAGCTCGTGGTCTCAGGTGAGGCCGCTGACCCTGTCCTCTCTGAGCTCAAACCTCAGCTCAGGCCCTGCCCCCAGGAGAGCTCAGGACGCTAAGGAAAGAGGGGAGTAAAGGGGGAGGGTCGGCAGGGGAGGGCCCAGCCCATGAGAGGGTGGAAATAGTCAGGGACCTCCTAATCCTGGGCTCCCACCCCAGAGACCTCAGATGGGGCTAAAGGCCAGGGAGGGCTGAAATGAGATATGGAGAAACCTTGGAGGAATCATGCTTAGGCTGAGGGTAGAAGATGGAGGCGCCACCCACTCCCCACCTGGGCTCCCCTGGCGGCCCCAAAATACTCAGTGCATACCTGAGACGAAGGGGAGATCATGCACCTGCTCACTGCAGCAATGCAGGCAAATTATTCAACAGCAAACCTCGTGTGCAATTCCTTTCTGTCCTTTATTTTTTATGTCCACATATCTAGTTTCTCTTTCTGTTTCTGAAGATTTCAAAGCAATGCTGGCATTTATAATTTACACATTTAATTTGTTAGGTAGCGTTATGATGTAAAATAACTGTGCTCTGATTTTCTTTGGGATTAAATTAAATATGTGCATTCATGATGGAGAATAACTTCTCATTAATAATGTCTTTTTATCCAATACATTTAAAATTAAACTTTATACAGTTAGCAGATGCTTGAAGTTGTATTCATAAAAATTGTGGACATTGTGAATTTTAAGCATTGTTTTACTACTTGAATAATTTGAAAGTCTTTGATTCCTTTCTATTTTCTAAAATTAGTTACGTATGGATGAGAAAGCTATTGGTTTGGGTATGCTAATTTTAGTTCCTATTAACTTACCACAGACACACTCCCTTTCAATCCTTTCCGAAATGATCTCTTCTGATTTATTGATAATAATTACATTAACCACAAGAAAATGGAGGACAAACTTGTTTGTTTCTAAATTATATAATACTCTTCTCACTTCAAATATATATGTATGTGTTTATATATACTCACACACTATTATATATCTTATAATATATATTATGTATTATATATTTATATATACACTATTATATATCTTATATATTATGTATTATATATTTATATATACCCACACATTATTATATCTTATAATATATATTATGTATTATATATTTATATATACCCACACATTATTATATCTTATAATATATATTATGTATTATATATTTATATATGCACTATTATATATCTTATATGTTATGTATTATATATTTATATTACCCACACATTATTATATCTTATAATATATATTATGTATTATATATTTATATATACACACACTATTATATATCTTATTATATATTATGTACTATATATTTATATATACTATTATATATCTTATAATATATAATGTATTATATATTTATATATACACACACTATTATATATCTTATATATTATGTATTATATATTTATATATACATACTATTATATATCTTATAATATATTATGTATTATATATTTATATATATACACTATTATATATCTTATTATATATTATATATTTATATATGCACACACTATTACATATCTTATTATATATTTATATGTATACACACACTATTATATATCTTATTATATATTATGTACTATATATTTATATATACTATTATATATCTTATAATATATAATGTATTATATATTTATATATACACACACTATTATATATCTTATATATTATGTATTATATATTTATATATACATACTATTATATATCTTATAATATATTATGTATTATATATTTATATATACACACTATTATATATCTTATTATATATTATATATTTATATATGTACACACTATTACATATCTTATTATATATTTATATGTATACACACACTATTATATATCTTATATATTATATATTTATATATACTCACACTATATCTTATAATACATATTATGCATACACATATGCATAATACATATTATGTATACACATATGCATAACACATATTATGTATACACACATATTTACACCTATGCATATATGTATGTATGTATGCGAATGTACCTCTGCCACAGCAGGGAAAGGTTCTATCACACAACTACAGAGCAGTTAGGAGAAGTGTAGACACAAAGGAATGCAGCAACTGAGGGACATGTTGGCTTAAGTCTCTTCAACTCCTCACACACCTCCCCCTTTTTTGGTTGATTCTCAGGAGCAGCTGAGACCCTCAGCCCATCGCAAAACAAGACAGACTCCAAGACTGGTGTGTAAGGAGATGCTCTCGGTTATGGGGCTGGCACAGAGGGTCAGGTCCTGTGAAGGGGAGGTGGGTGCCCTGGGTGGACATCC
The DNA here is from genome assembly GCF_000001405.40 of Homo sapiens. Classification (NCBI taxonomy): domain Eukaryota; kingdom Metazoa; phylum Chordata; class Mammalia; order Primates; family Hominidae; genus Homo; species Homo sapiens. The sequence goes on from NW_003571054.1 coordinate 618,718, forward strand.
AGGGGTCCCGGGTGATGTTGATCTGCCCTGACCTCTGAGACCTCTTGGTCCACCATCCCCAGCCTCACACCCCCAGGATTACACAGTGGAGAATCTCATCCGCGTGGCTGTGGCTGGCTTGGTCCTGGTGGTCCTCGGGATTCTGCTGCTTTAGGATTGGCACAGCTAGAGAAGTCCCCAAGATGCAGCAAGGAGGTAAATACATGAGAGAACAATGCACCCTTCAGAGTGCCAGAGCCTTGGCAATGAGTCTGATAGTCCTAGGAGGTTCTGGAAGAAAGTCTGGACCATCATTCGGGAAACCGTCTACTGAGAAAGTCGAGAAGGGGAGGCTTGGGTCAGGTTCAGGGAGATGTCTGGGTGCCTGTAGAGAACGCTTCCTCCATTAAACTTCCATTAAATGGCAGTGCTTTCAGTCCAGCTGTTGTGGACCCTCCGTGTCTGCCCCTCCCTTCCTTTCGCTCTCTGTGATGTGAAGGCACGTCCCCCATGGTGGGTTTGCATCCACACCCCTGCGATCACGTGCTCTGGTCCACTGTCCTGTAATACATTTGTCTTTGTTTCCAACTACCGCATTCTCTAAAGTGAACTATTGATTCTCCATCTTTTCAGTTCTGAGCATAGATCTGGATTAAATAACTGGAATAGGTGGGCAGATTTGTATTTGGGACTTTGAAACATGAGTCTGAGGCCAGGCACAGTGGCTCACACCTGTAATCCCAGCACTTTGGGAGGCTGAGGTGGGCGGATCACTTGAGGTCAGAAGTTCGAGACCAACCTGGCCAACATGGTGAAACCCTGTCTCTACTAAAAGATACAAAAATTAGCTGGGTGTGGCAGTGAGCACCTGTAATCCCAGCTGCTCAGGAAGCTGAGGTGGGAGAATAGCTTGAACCCGGGAGGCGGAGGTTGCAGTGAGCCAAGATCTTGCCACTGCACTCCAGCCTGGGCAACAGAGCAAGACTCTATCTCCAAAAAAAAAAAAAAAAAGGGAAATATGAGTCTGAAATGATGCCCTAGCACCCTCTCTGGACCCTGAATTCCCTTCACTCTTCATCGGATGATACCTGTGTACTTCGTCCAGAAATATCATCTCTCAGAATGAGCACACTAACGCTCGAAGGCTCAGCCTCATGGTATTCTGTTAAACTGGCTCTCTGAAAAAATTATTTTCTTAAGAAAACTCTGAACATATAAAGCCCCAGATTTATGGTATTTGCTGATTAGTGTGGTATAAATACGTCCTTTATGGCCAACTTCAGGGTGCCCATATGACGCCATTGAATGCACAGTTGGGAAGTAGTCAAAAGAATTGTCGTTCACACGAGTATGAACCAGTTGTAAAGTTTATTTAAAGGTTATAATAATTTCTGCTTCATTCTTATGGTGTAGTTTCAGTAAAATTGTAATGTCAAAAATCATAGCACAATGGAGGGAAAAGAAAAAAATAGGCCGGGTGTGGTGGCTCATGCCTGTAATCCCAACACTTTGGGAGGCCGAGGCAGGAGGATCACCTGAGGTCAGGAGTTCGAGACCAGCCTGGCCAACATGGTGAAACCCTGTCTCTACTAAAAATACAAAAATTAGCCAGACATGGTGGCGCCTGCCTGTTAATCCCAGCTACTTGGGAGGCCAAGGCACGAGAATCGCATGAACCCAGGAGGCGGAGGTTGCAGTGAGCCGAGATCACTACAGCCTGGGTGATAGAGCAAGACTCAGTCTCAATAAAAGAAAAAAGTAGCAAAATCATTTTTTGGAAAGAATATTGAACATGTAGAATTTTAGTACATTAATAGTAAGAGTACAAATTGCTTTAATCAATTAAGGAAGTGTATTGGAATTATCTAGTTAAAAAGAGGAGGCACACGGCTGTGACCCTTCTTAATTATGTACTTAATTATGTACCCTAGAGATAAATGTCTACTTATGTGTCATGATACACTCACAACTGTTATAGGAATGCTGTTCCTATTAGCCAAAGCTATAAAATACCAAAGTCCACCTACGAAAAAAATAAACATAGTGTGGTAAATAGACTCAGTGGAATATTACAAGGTAGTAAAATGCATAAATGAAAATAACAAACAGCACCATACTTCAATTTTCAAGCATAAAGTCAAGTAAATGAAGTATTATTTGAAAATGTGTGCATGGTTATTTCATTACATAAAGGTCAAAAGGAGGGTACATTTATTATTTAGGAAAACACACCTAAGATATCTTTGTAAAATCTGTAAAATCAATAGTACTGTTTCCCCTCTTTCATTCCTTATCTTGAAAATGCTTGTCTCTTTTTCTGCCATGGCTTTCTACCTTGCTTGATATATTACAATTTTGTAACCTGCTTATTTCATCATATGTCATAAGTTCACATGTATATCCCATGAATTATTGAGGGTCTTATTCATTTCAAGTGGCATTTAGGTTTTTAAAAATATCTTTTGGCGACCAGGTGCAGTGGCTCATGCCTGTAATCCCAGCACTTTGGGAAGCCAAGGCAGGTGGATCACGAGTTCAAGAGACAGAGATCATCCTGGCAAACATGGTGAAACCCCGTCTCTACTAAAAATACAAAAAAAAAAAAAATTAGCTGGGCATGGTAGAGGGTGCCTGTAGTCCCAGCTTCTCAGGAGGCTGAGGCGGGAGAATGGCGTGAACCCGAGAGACGGAGGTTGCAGTGAGCCGAGATCGTGCCACTGCACTCCAGCCTGGCAACAGAGTGAGACTCTGTCTCAAAAAAAAAAAAAAAGAAAGAAAGAAAGGAAGAAAAAAAAATCTTCTGGCATTAACTATTAAGAAATTGCACTATAAAAAGAGAATATAATGCATAAGACGGCAATTTGAAAAGATTCAGATATAATTTTTTCTTATCTAGTAAATACTTAGTAATTTGTCTAATGCATGCCTTAAATACATACCACTTTATGCAGAGGTTGCCATGAGCCGAGATCGCGCCGTTGCACTCTAGCCTGGGTGGCAGAGCAAGACTCCATCTCAAAAAAAAAAAAGAAAATCTCACAGAAGGAGACCCAGAGCTTCCAGCCTCGCCCAGAGTCTTGGCTCACTCCCTGTGTGTGTGGACCCTAGGGAGCCTCTTCTGTTCCCCACAGAGGTGGAAACTTCCTCCTTAATAACCCCTTGATGGTCCCAGGCACTGGTGACCACTGAGCTTTGCTCTCTCTTTTTTCTTATGGTTCCCTGTCTACTTCCAGGGCTATCACTTTACTTTTTGTGCATTAGACCATGAATAATGTTTTAGAAACATTCTATCAAATTTCTCAGTGCTAGGAACAACTGAGGTTTTTGATTGGGTGCCTCAAATGTCTACCCTTACTGTGGAGTCCGACAACAGGATTCTAACAAGTCCCAACCCCTTCATGCCTTAACCTGGTCTGGAAATAAATTATGTTTAAGCCATCCCATACCCCAGCCACATCAAGCCCCACAACCACTCTGAGAAGTGAGATTTATAGCAAAATGCTCCAAACAAGGTAACTAAGGTTCAGACAAGGGATGTTAATGTGTCCATTTACATAAACAAAAAATGGTAGATGATCAGCTTTCCCTTTGAAATCAGAGTACTAATCTGACTCATTGTTCCCTGAATTTTAGAGGCAGGACCTCAGGAGGAGCTAAGAATCCTACCCCAGGAAAATTACCAATATCAGAAAGGAAACAATGACATCAGTACAGATCCTACAGAATTCAAAAGATTCTAAGTGGACATTATGAAGACATTATTCAGCTTAGATGAAGTGGTCACATATCACAAGAAAACAAACTGTCTAAAACAATCTCTGAAATACCTAGACATTCCCTGAATCATTGAGTTATTAAATAAAATACATTTTAAAATTAAACTCTTTTCAGGAAATAAACTTCAATGTCCCCTAGTGCACTCTCCAAAACATGTAGATAGGAATAAATACTGTTCTGAAAGACATTTCCCTGGAATTACAACCATTCAATATATTTTAAAAGGCAATCATAAAAATATAAAAAGGATATATCAGGAGAAGAAATGTAAATGGCCTAAATTCCCCACATAAAAGGCATAGAGTGGCAACGTGGATAAAAAGCCAAGAGCCAACTGCCTGCTGTCTTCAAGAGACCCATCTCACATGTAATGACACCCACAGGCTCAAAGTAAAAGGATGAAGAAATATTTACTAGGCAACCAGGAAACAAAAAAAAGGAAGGCATTCCTATTCTTATATCACATGAAACACACTTTAAATCAACAGCAATCAGGAAGGACAAAGAAGGGCATTACAAAATGATAAAGGGTTCAATTTGACAGAAGACTTAACTATTCTAAATATATATGCACCCAAATTTGGAGCACTCCGATTCATAAAACAAGTTATTCTTCACCTATGAAAAGAGTTAGACAGCCACACAATAATAGTAAGGGACTTCAGTATCCCACTAACAACGTCAGATGAATCACTAAAACAGAAAACTAACAAAGAAATTCTGGTCTTAAAGACAACACTTGACCAATTGGACCTCATAGACATCTACAGAGTACTCCACCCAACAACTGCAGAATATAGATTCTTCTTATCTGCACACACAAAAAACATATCATATTCTAAGACTGGCCACAAAGCAAGTCTCAATAAATTCAAAGAATCAAAATCATAACAAGGCACACAATAAAAATAGAAAAAAATACCAAGATGATCTCTCAAAACTACAGAAAAACATGGAAATTTAACAACTTGTTTCTGAATGAATATTAAGAGCCATCTATGACAAATCCACAGCCAACATCATATTGAATGGTCAAAAGCTGGAACTGTACCCCTTGAGAACTCTTGGGTGAACAATGAAATTAAAGCAGAAATCACAAAACATTATTTAAAATTAATAAAAATAGAAACAAACTTACCAAAACCTTTGGGATGCAGTTAAAGCAGTGATAAGAGGAAAATTTATAGCAATACATGCCTCATCAGAAGTTTAGAAAGATCTCAAATTAGTGACTTAACACTGCATCTAGAGGAACTATTAAAAAAAAGGAACAGTCCAAACCCAAGGCCAGCAAAAGATGAGAAATAACTAAAGTCAGAGAGAACTGAATAAATTGAGACCAAAAAGTCCATACAAGAGATAAATAAAACCAAGAGTTTTTCTTTGAAAAAAAATAAACAAAATTCATAGACTGTTAGCTAGATTAACAAAGAAAAAGAGAAAAGATCCAAATAAACACAAATAGAACTGACAAAACAATGTTACGAACAATCCCACAGAAATAGAAAAGATCGTCAAAGACTATTATGAACACCTCTATACAAACAAGCTAGAAAACCTAGAAGAAATGGATAAATTCCTGGTAACACAAAATTTATCATATTTCAACCAGGAAGAAAGTGAAAACCTGAACAGACCAATAACAAGTTCAGAAATTTAATCAGTAATAAAAACCCTACTAACTAAAAATAGCCCAGGACCAGACGGATTCACAGCCAAAATCCAACAGCCATACAAAGAAGAACTGATACCGATCTTACTGAAACTTTTGGAAAAAATCAAGGAGTGGGGGCTTCTTCCTAACTCATTCTATGAAGCCATCATCACCATGATACCAACATCTGTCAGAGACATAATGAAAAAAAGAAAACTACAACTAAATATCCTTAATGAACATAGACATAAAATCCTCAACAAAATGCTAGCAAATTGAATCTGTCAGTGCATCAAAAGTTAATTCACATGATCAAGTAAGCTTTATTTTTGGGATGCAAGGTTGGTTCAACCTACAAAGTCAACGAATGTGATTCACCTCATAAACATAATTAAAAACAAAAACTATATGATCATCTCAATAGATGCAAAAAAAGCTTTCTGTAAAATCCAACATCCCTTCATGATAAAAACTGTCAATAGGCATCAAAGGAACATACCTCAAAATATTAAGAGCCATCTATGACAAACCCACAGCCAACATCATATTGATGGGCAAAAGCTGGAACCATACCCCTTGAGAACCGAAACAAGACCAAGATGACCACTCCCGCCATTTTAATTCAACATGGTACTGGAAGTCCTAGCCAAAGCAATCAGGCAAGAGAAGGAAATAAAAGGCATTAAAATTGGAAAAGAAGTAGTGATACTGTCTCTCTTTGCTGATGAAATAATTTTATACATAGAAAACCCTAAAGACTCTGTCAGAAGGCTCCTGAAACTGATAAACAAATTCAATAAAGTTTCGGGATTAAAAAAATGTACACAAATTAGTAACATTTCTATGCACCACTAACATTCTAGCTGAGAACTAAATCAAGAACACAATTCCATTTACACTAGCCACAAAGAAAATAAAATACCTAGGAATCCATCTAACCAAGAAGGTGAAAATTCTCTACAAGGAGAACTACAAAACACTTCTGAAAGAAATAAGAAATGATACAAACAAATGGAAGAATATTCCATGCTCATGAATTAGGAGAACAAATAGTTAAAATCGCCATACTTCCAAAAACAAATTGCAGAGTCAATGCTATCCATTTCAAAATGCAATGTCATTTTTCACGAAATTATAAAAATTTATTCTAAAATGTATTTGGCACCAAAAAAAGAGCCTGAATACACATAGGAATCCTAAGCACAAAGAACAAAGCCCAGGCATCACATTACCCAACTTCAAACTATACTACAATGCTATAGTAACCCAAACAGCATGATACTACTACAAAAACAGACACATAGACCAATGAGACAGAATAGAGAACCCAGAAATGAGGCTACATACCTACAATCATCTTTGAAAAAATTGACAAAAACAAGCAATGTGGAAAGTACCCTTTCTTCAATAAATAGTTCTGGGATAACTGACTACTCATATGCAAAATAATAGAACTGGACCCCTAACTCTCACTATATACAAAAATTAACCCAAGATAGTTTAAAGATTTAAATGTAAAACCTCAAAATATTAAAATTCTAGAAGAAAACCTAGGAAATATCCTTCTCAAGATAGACTTTGGCAAAGAATTTATGGCTAACTCCCCAAAACCAATTGTGACAAAGACAGAAATTGGGACCTAACTCAACTGAAGAGCTTCTGCACAGCAAACGAAAGTATCAACAGAGTAAACAGATAACCTACAGACTGGGAGAAAATATTTGCAAACTATGCATCTGACAAAGTTCTAATATCCAGAATCTATAAGGAATGTAAACAAATCAACAAGCAGAAAACCAAAAAACCTCAATTAAGTATGACATGAACAGACACTTCTCAAAAGAAGATGTACACATGGCCAAAAAACATATGAACAAATGCTTATTATCAGTAATCATCAGAGAAATGCAAATTAAAACCACAGTGAGATACCATCTCACAACAATCAGAGAAGCAGAAGCAATTACTAAAAAGTTTTTTGTTTTTTTTAATAACAGATGCTGACAAGATTGTGGAGAAAAGGGAACACTTATACACTCTTGGTGGGAATGTTAACTAGTTCAGCCAATGTGATAAGCAGTTTGGAGACTTCTCAAATAACTTAAAATAGAACTACTATTCAATCAAGCAATCCCACTACTGGGTATATACCAAAAGGAAGGTAATTAACTATGTCAAAAAGACACATGCACTAGTATATTCATTGCTGTGCAATTCAGAATAGCAAAGATTTGCAGTCAACCTAAGTGCTCACCAACAGTGGATTAGTTAAAGAAAATGTGCTACATATACACATGGAACATTACATGGCCATAAAAAATAATGAAATCATGTCCTTTGCAGCAACATGAATGTAGCAGGAGGTCAATCTCCTAAGTGAACTAACCCAGGAACAGAAAACCAAATACCACATGTTATCACTTATAACTGAGAACCAAACATTGAATACACATGAACATAAAGATGGAAACAACAGATACCGAGGACTACAGATGGGGGGAGGAGTAGGGAGGTATAGGCTGAAGAAACACCTGTTGGATTCTATGCTCATTGCCTGGGTGATGGCATTGTTGGAACCACAAACCTCAGAGTCACACAATATGCCTATGTAACAAACCTGCATGCATACCTTTAATCTACAGTAAAGGTTGAAGTTATTTAAAAATAGGAAGAAGAATTACCCTATACCTAAAGCTAAGATTTTTCCCTTTGAATATTCGTTTCTTCATCACTGTAGATAAGCAGGGAAAGAAAAATTATTATACTATACTAGCCTTTTATGTGACCATGAGGATTTGGGGTAGGTAGGTGGACAGCTTAGATAATTCACCAGGATATTGATACAGGCTCCATGGCTGGAAATAACCAAGGATGAGTGCTGTGTTTTGAGTGGTCTCCCCCAGAAACGTTTGTTGAAATCCTAACCCCTGGTATGTATGAATGTGAATTCATATTATATAAAAAGGAATAAATAGCCTGAGCACAGTGGCTCACACCTGTAATCCCAGCACTTTGGGAGGCCAAAGCAGGTGGATCATTTGAGGTCAGGAGTTCTGGCCAATATGGCAAAACTTCATCTCTACAAAAAAAAAATACAAAAAAAAAAATTGGCTGGGTATGGTGGCGCATGCCTGTAGTCCCAGCTACTCAGGAGGCTGAGGCAGGAATTGCTGAAACCTGGAAGGCAGAGGTTGCAGTGAGCCAAGATCATGCCACTGCACTCCAGCCTGGGTGAGACGGCAAGATATTCTGTCAAAAATAAATAAATAAAAAACAGAAGAAGAAATACAAGAATGACAGCAAACTTTGTATTCAAAACTATGAAAGTAAGAAACAGGTGGACCAACATTTTTAAAGTGCTACAAGAAAATATTTCAAACTAGAATCTTTCAACCTGAAAAGGAAAACATTTTCCTGCAATAAAGGTGCCATTAAAAATGTCTCACAATTTATTACATGAAGCATTGTTCTACAATAAATGTTAAGCTCTTGAAGCAAAGATTAATGATACCATTTAGTAACTTGAAATTCAAAAAAGTGGAAGTATCCCAAGAGGCAAATACGTGTGCAATTATTAAATGTTTCATATCAACACCCAACCTTATGCTGTCTACATAAGCTGCACTTCAAATACTAATCCACAAGATGTAAATATTGAAAGAATGACATTACCTTGTCATGATAATGCCCAGTGCAAAATATGCTTCTAGTCAGTTGTATACATAGAATAGGTAAATGTTTGTAATAAAAAGTATTCCTCAATAGAAGTTTCTTAACTCAAAGAATGAAATATTTCACCATGCACATACAAAGAAGAGATATATGGAGATATGAAGAGGAGTACTTCATAATGACAAAGAGGCAAATTCATAAATAAGACATAATCATCCTAAATGCCTACACACTTAAAGCTGGAACCTCAAAACACATTAAATTAAAGGCATAATTCAAAACATAATCAATCACATCCAAATTGCAGCTAGAGATAGCAACATTCACCTCACTTCCAGAACAAGTACACAGAAAATTATTAAGCATATGAAAGACTTGAAAAACATTTGTGTAGGCGGCGGGTGCATAAGGTTGGGTGTTGATATGAAACATTTAATAATTTCAATAATCCTAGCACTTTGGGAGGCCAAAATGGGAGGATCACTTGAGGCCAGGAGTTTGAGACCAGCCTGGGCACCATAGTGAGACCCCGTCTCTATTTTTTTTAAATAAAGAAAAACATTTGAATGATTTTTTTCTTAACTGACATTTAGAAAACATCCACCTCAAATCTTCCTAATCCACAAACTTGTCTAGCACCCCTGGAACATTCACCAAAATAAATTTTTAAATGCTGAATCATAGGTAATATGATAGATGAAACAGTTGAATTAAATTATAAATGTACAACAAGGAAATGCTGGGGAAATTATCAAATATTTTAAAATTAATAAACACACATAGCAATAAACAATGAGTGGAAGAAAAACATTTCAAAGAAAGGTGGAAAATATTTTGTATCAATTAAAAATGAAAACACATCTCGGCAAATGACTGGGGATACAGATAGAACAGCGTTAAGGGACAATAAGCCTCAAATGTCTGTGTTAGAAAAGAAGGAAGAGCTGAGTAAATAGGTAACTTTCACTTGCAGAAATACTACACATCAGCAAATTAATTCCAAAGTAACGTCGAGGAAAAACATAAAATGGCAAGCAAATATATACGTGCATATGTACATACATTCATAAATGACAAACAGGACAGAAAAATCAGTGACATCAATTTTGTTCCTTAGAAGAAACAGGAAAATTGACCCCAAAAAACTTTCCAGGCCACATTTGGTCATGATGGAAATATTTTGGCACTTCCTGGTTAAGCTCAACACCAACTTGCACCCAAAACCAATAATTTCATTTCTAGGTAAATATGTCTAATTAATTCAGCATATGTATGCAAGGGATCACACAGAAACACGATTATCAAGGCCCGAGTTATAAAAGAGAAAATCCGGAAACAACACAAATGTCCATGATAAAAAGAATGGATAATTACATGTTGATAAAGTTATGCATGGACTATTAAACTGCAATCCAAAAGAATAAAATAGAGCTATAAAATTCAATATGTATATGGTGTCATAGAAACACAAATGTGAGAAAAAGAAAGAAAAATACAAAATTTATATTTTTTAAAATTTGAAACAACTATATATGTGAGTGCTTAGGGTGTGTGTGTGTGTGTGTGTGTGTGTGTATAACCATATGTATATAAATGCACACATACGCACACATATAGAATGTCCCGGCCAGGCATGGTGGCTCACACCTGTAATCTCAGCACTTTGGGAGGCTGAAGTAGACAGATCACTTGAGGTTAGGAGTTCAAGACCAGCCTGGCCAACATGGAGAAACCTCCTCTCTACTAAAAGTACAAAAATTAGGTGGGCGTGGTGGTGGGTGCCTGTAAATCCAGCTACTTAGGAGGCTGAGGCACGAGAATTGCGTGAACCTGGGAGGTGGAGGCTGCAATGAGCCGAGGTCTCACCACTGCATTCCAAACTGGGTGACGAAGTGAGATTGCATCTCAAAAAAAAAAAAAGTTCTAAAAGTTGTGACTTGGGTGTGGCAGATTGTGACATACTGCCAGCTGCTAGAAATGCTGGGGCAGGAGGATTGCTTGAACTCTGAAGTCAAAGAACAGCCTGGGGAAAATAGCACATGAAGAAGAGTTTGAATCTCAGATAAAAACAACAAAAATACATCAAAAGTCTTTAATGTAAGCCAAGCATTCAGTCATCTCCTGTATGAGAGATTGGATCTGAGACGTGTTTTGAGTTGGTTATAGTGAAGGATGCAAGGTGTCAATTCTAGTTGGAACAATTTCCAGGAAGCCATGTTCTGCTCTTGACCAAACAGCCACTGGGCCTCATGCAAGGTAGAAATAGCCTGCATACGTCATCCTCCCATGATGTGGTCAGCATGTAAACTGCATGAGCCCCTCACAACATCCTGTGTGCTGCTGAACTGAGCTGGGGCGCAGCCGCCTGTCTGCACCGGCAGCACCATGTCGCTCATGGTCGTCAGCATGGCGTGTGTTGGTGAGTCCTGGAAGGGAATCGAGGGAGGGAGCGGTGGGGTGGAGATCTGGGCCTGGAGTGGAGATATGGGCCTGGAGTGGAGATATGGGCCTGGAGTGGAGATATAGGCCTGGAGTGGAGATATGGGCCTGGGGTGGAGATATGGGCCTGGAGTGGAGATATGGGCCTGGAACTGTAGATATGGGCCTGAAGTAGAGATATGGGCCTGGAGTAGAGATATGGGCCTGGAACTGTAGATATGGGCCTGGAGTGGAGATATTGGCTTGGAGTGCAGATATGGACCTGGAATTGAGATACGGGCCTGGAGGTGGAGATATGGGCCTAGAGTGGAGATATGGGCCTGGAGGTGGAGATATGGGCCTGGAACTGTAGATATGGGCCTGGAGTAGAGATATGGGCCTGGAGTGGAGATGTTGGCTTGGAGTGCAGATATGGGCCTGGAATGGAGACACGGGCCTGGAGGTGGAGATACAGGCCTGGAGGTGGAGATATGGGCCTGGAGTGTAGATATGGGCCTGGAGTAGAGATATAGGACAGAGGTGGAGATATAGGCCTGGAGTGGAGATATGGGCCTGGAGTAGAGATATAGGACGGAAGTGGAGATATGGGCCTGGAGTGGAGATATGGGCCTGGAGGTGATGTACAGATGGATCATCCATCATGATCTTTCTTTCCAGGGTTCTTCTTGCTGGAGGGGCCCTGGCCACATGTGGGTGAGTCCTTCCCCCAAACCTTAGGTTGTCATCTCCCCACATAAGATGATGTTCCTGAAACGGGAGGCAGGCGACACAGGGGGTTGACTGATGGGCTGACCATGGGAAGCCATGTGGGAATCTCTCATGAACTAGGAAAAGGAAGCCAGGGGAAGCTTCGCCACAGTTCTGTCCTAGCCCTCCCCGGCCTTTCTTTCCCTTGGCTGAGTCTGTGGGGACCCAGGGGGAGACTGAAGTGCTCAAAGGAGTGGTGTGCAGGGAGGAAGTGGTGTCACCGGCAGAGGAAGGGAGAGAAGCAGTGCAAGGAACAACAGGCCTCTGAGGACAAGAGCATAACTCACACCCTCCAGCGTTTCCATGACGGTAGGGGCTGCAATGTGGCTGCTGTCATTCTACCTAAGAGGTGGGGGAACCACAGTCATGACCCTGACATTCCAGATCTTCTAATAGGGGCTCAGTTGTTTATTATGGTTCATGCATTAGCTGATCATGCCCTCCATCCTGTGTCTACCTTGTGTTCTTTTATGTAAGTAATTTTGCAGTGTTAAAATCTAGTAAGAGTCGCTTCTTCAGCACCTGCTCAAAGTTCTCAGCTGACACTTGCTGTAGGGAGACGCCATGTCTATGCGGGATGGGTCCTTCCTGTAGCCCTGGGCACCCAGGTGTGGTAGGAGCCTTAGAAACGTGGAAATGGGAGAATCTTCTGAGCACAGGGAGGGAGGGGCGGCTCCACATCCTCCTCTCTAAGGTAGTGCCTCCTTCTCCCCCAGGTGGTCAGGACAAGCCCTTCCTCTCTGCCTGGCCCGGCACTGTGGTGTCTGAAGGACAACATGTGACTCTTCAGTGTCGCTCTCGTCTTGGGTTTAACGAATTCAGTCTGTCCAAAGAAGACGGGATGCCTGTCCCTGAGCTCTACAACAGAATATTCCGGAACAGCTTTCTCATGGGCCCTGTGACCCCAGCACATGCAGGGACCTACAGATGTTGCAGTTCACACCCACACTCCCCCACTGGGTGGTCGGCACCCAGCAACCCTGTGGTGATCATGGTCACAGGTCAGAGGCTTTCTGTCTGGGCTTCTCACTGTCCCACCTCCTGAATCCCAGAGCTTCTGGTGGGGGTGTCCATCAGGGTCCAATCATCCAGGCCCAGACTGTATTTGGGGTAAAGGGGGATTCAGTACAGAGAAATAGTTGCTGTGGTGGGAAGAATAATTGTCCCCAGTGATGGCTACATGGTAATCCATGAACCCTGTGACTATTTATGTCATAGGGCAGGGGACTGAAGGGGAAGATGGAGCTCAGGTTGTTGATGGGTTGACCTTGCGATGGGGAGACAGCCTGGACTGTCCTGCTGTGCTCAGAGTAATCACAAGGGTCCTCATGAGAGGAGGAGGAAGAGGAAAGTGGGGTTAGAGCAACGTCGTGGGAGGGAGACTCCATCAGCCACAGCGGGCTTTGAAGATGGGGGAAGGCCATGAGCCACAAAGGCAGTTGGCCTCTAAGGGCTGGAGAAGTCAAGGGAACTGATTCTTCCCTGAGTCTCCAGAGGAAACACAGCCCTGTAGATGCCTTGATTTTAGCCCAGAGAGAACTGGGTCCGATTTCTGTTCTCCAGAAGTGGAAGGGGTCATTGTATTCTCTCTTGCCCCATGTTTGTGACAATTTTCTCCAGCAGCAACAGGAAACCAACACAGGAACCCAGGTGAAGCACAAGTTAAGAAACCAAACAAGGAGAAGGTTGGCTACACTGATTTTAGCATGGGTGGGATACTGATGCTACCACCAGGCTCGATCCACATAGGGAGGGGTTGATGCTCCTGGAACCAGCACCAGGGGCCACCCTATGGAAGCTGGGGCCATGGAGAAGGCACAGACATGACAGGAGAGGCTCCCAATCCCCATCAGGAACAGGGACACTGATGCCTGCCTTACTGATGAGTTCGTACCTCCTGCCAGCCTTTCCAATCTGTCCAAAAGAGATTGATTCAGGCTGCTAAGAGCCTGGACATGCAGCCTGTCGTGGTTCCTCTTCCACCCCCACATAAACACCAGGAAAGAGATTAGTGGGAAACAGATACAACAGCATAAGAGGTGACACTGAGCACAGTGGGAAGGGAATCAGGGCTACTAGAGACAGAGAGACAGGGAAGAGGGAGGGAGACAGATGGAGGGACCTGCAACAGGGGTTATGGGCACAAAAGAACACGGAGACACAGAGAGGAAGGAGAGAGATAGACACCATGGAGGGGAAGCCTCACTTATTTCAGGTCCCATGAATGGGATGAGAAAGGGAGACGCCTTCTGAACTCACAACCTCTCTTCTTAGGAGTCCACAGAAAACCTTCCCTCCTGGCCCACCCAGGTCCCCTGGTGAAATCGGGAGAGACGGTCATCCTGCAATGTTGGTCAGATGTCAGGTTTGAGCGCTTCCTTCTGCACAGAGAGGGGATCACTGAGGACCCCTTGCGCCTCATTGGACAGCTCCACGATGCGGGTTCCCAGGTCAACTATTCCATGGGTCCCATGACACCTGCCCTTGCAGGGACCTACAGATGCTTTGGTTCTGTCACTCACTTACCCTATGAGTTGTCGGCTCCCAGTGACCCTCTGGACATCGTGGTCGTAGGTGAGAGAATACAGACCTGCCTCTCACCCTTGCTGGGAGATGGAGTGAATGATCTAGGACTGGAAGCCCCAGGTGGTCATGAGGAAGATGAGTGTGGGGTTCCTATGGAGAGAAAGTGACTTGGTGAGGTCTGTACCAACAAAGGCAGAGAAACAGGAGACACAAGTACAGACCTCATGTCATAACATAGAAGCCAGACACAGGGGCCATACAAGGTGTTAGAAAAAGAGATAAAGAGGTAAAGAAGACACAGAGAGACAGATATATCCCAGAGAGAGGTGTCCTTCTATGCTGACTTTGTTCAGAGACCAGGCACAGGTTAGAAGGTTCCATTCTGTTTTACCTCTACAAAGTGTTCTCTCCCAGGAGAACCCAAAGAGACACATCTATCTGGCCTGAGTTGGGCCGTGTGGCCCCAGGCTGGTGGCACCTACAGATGCTGTGTTTATTCTTAAACCTCTGCCTTCCGTGCAGTGGAGCTGTCGTCGTCGCAGGACACCATGGCCCCAGGTGAGGGAGCAGAACACCAACCCCTGTATGTTGTGAGTTCCTGGAGTCCCCATACTGGATTCTGAGGCTCATATTCAAATAGCACCACATGTTATAGGATTACTGAGAACAAAAGCCCACAGAGAGACACGGAGTGAAATCAGGGAAATCAAAAAGCAAAGACATGAACACACACACAGAATGAGCCAGAAGAAGGGAATTGAGAGACTCACAGACACATAAAGAGATAGAAAAAGAGGGCAGAGAAGTGGAGCGTATGATGGAAGGAAGCAGAGAAAAGCCCTAAAATCAGAGCCCTGAGGGAGGGGCACAAAGACAGGGAAAGATAAAGATGTGGGGATGGATTGCAGAGACTCCAAAAGGGAACTAGAGAGACTGAGAGGCAGAGAAAGACAAGGAGATGGAGAGAGACAGATGATAGATGGATAGATAGATATAGATAGATGAAAGATAAAAGGTAGATGATAGATAATAGAGAGACAGGTGATAGACAAATAGATGATGAATGACTGATAGATGATATAGATAGACAAGTAGAAAGACAGACAGATGATATATAAATAGATATAGAGAGATAGAAAGATAAACACATGATGATAGATGGATAGATGCATACATACATACATTGATTGATAGATGATAGATAACAGAGAGATAGGTCATAGATACACAGATGATGATAGATGATAGATACATACATAGATAAATGATAGATCGATCAATAGATAGTAGATAGAAATATGCAGAAAGTTATGAGCAAGACAGAAAGTGAGAGACTCAGAATTAAAGAAAGAGGAAGATCAAGTCAACCAGTCCAAGGAGGGTCAGAGAGAATAAAATGGTACAAAAAAAGAAAACATAGCTAGGGATGGAGAAGTGAGGTCAGAGACCTAGAGAGACAGAGAAGGTGGAAGGAGGAAATAGACATGAAGAGAGATGGGGGTGGAGGGTGAGAGAGAGAAAGAGAGCATTAAGTCATAGAGCAGGGGAGTGAGTTCTCAGCTCAGGTGTGAGGAGAGCTGTGACAACGAAGAACCTCCCTGAGGAAACCACCTCTTCTCCTTCCAGGTCTATATGGGAAACCTTCTCTCTCAGCCCAGCCGGGCCCCACGGTTCAGGCAGGAGAGAATGTGACCTTGTCCTGCAGCTCCCGGAGCTTGTTTGACATTTACCATCTATCCAGGGAGGCAGAGGCCGGTGAACTTAGGCTCACTGCGGTGCTGAGGGTCAATGGAACATTCCAGGCCAACTTCCCTCTGGGCCCTGTGACCCACGGAGGGAACTACAGATGCTTCGGCTCTTTCCGTGCCCTGCCCCACGCGTGGTCAGACCCGAGTGACCCACTGCCCGTTTCTGTCACAGGTGAGAAAACACCATGCCTGTCCCATGTCTTGTGATCCTAGAGCCATAGCTGAGGAGCTTCCTGCTGATGATGGAGAGAAGCATGGACAGATGCCGAGACAGAACACACAGCATGGGTGTAAGGGCGGGGTCAGGGGGCAGGATGGCAGACAGGGCACCTCCAAACCCTCCTGTATGGCCTGCAAGGAGGCCCTTGATCAGGGTTCCAGGCACCCAGGCAGATGGAGAAAGAGGTCAGAACAGACCCAGAGGAGGGAGACTGGGCTCTGCCTGGGGAGATCAGAGGTTCTCTCAGCCCCTCAACCTTACCCACTTCCCAGAAGCCCATCCTGGCCTGTCACCCACAGAGAGATGTCATCACCAGCAACGCCTACACCCTTTTCTTTTTGTTTGAAGAAATATTTATTGAGGTGAAATATACCTATGTAATTTACCACCTTTACCATTTTTAAGTGTGAAGTCTACTGTTCATAAATACATTTATAGGCTGGGCACGGTGGCTCACTGTTGTAATCCCAACACTTTGAGAGGCCAAGGCAGGTGGATCATTTGAGATCAGGGGCTCAAGACCACCCTGGCCAACATGGGGAAAATCCATCTGTACTAAAAATACAAAATAATAATAATAATGATAATAATTAGCCGAGCATGGTGGCACATGCCTGTAGTCCCAGCTACTTGGGAGGGTTGGGCAGGAGTTGCACTTAATTGCAGGAGGCGGAGGTTGCAGTGAGCTGAGATCATGCCACTGCACTGCAGCCTGGGCAACAGAGAGAGACACTCTCTCAAAATTAATTAATTAATTAATTAGTATTCTTTTTTTTTTACCCTCCACCCTTCCCTTCCTGGCCTCTGGTAGCCACCATTCTACTCTCTACCTTTGTGAGATCCACCTTTTAGCTCCTGCATATGAGTGAGAAATGGAAATACTTGTAATGACCTCCAGTTCCATTCATGTGGCTGTAAATGACAGGATGTTACTCTTTCTATGGATGAGTTGTCCCTATTGTGTGTGTGTACCACATTCTCTCCATCCATTCACCCACTGATGGGCAGGTAGGTTGATCCACATCTTGGCTACTGTGAACACTGCTGGAACAGTCATGGGAGTGCAGATGTCACTTCGATACGCTGATGTCCTTTCCTTTGGGTTTACACCCAGTCATGGAATTGCTAGATCCTCTGGAAGTGTCTTTTTACATTTTGTTTTATGGTTTTTGTTTTTGTTTTTGTTTTTTTTAGACAGTTTCACTCTTGTTGCCCAGGCTGGAGTGCAGTGGTGCCATCTGGGCTCACTGCAACCTCCACCTCCAGGATTCAAGAGATTCCCCAGCCTCAGCCTCCCAAGTAGCTGGGTTACTGGCTCCCACCACCACACTCGGCTAATTTTTATATTTTTAGTAGAGACAGAGTTTCGCTATATTGGCCAGGCTGCTCTTCAACTCCTGACCTCAAGTGACCTACCCACCTCGGCCTCCCAATGTGCTGGGATTACAGGCATGAACCACTGTGCCCGACCTCATTTTATTTTTTGAGGAACTTCCATACTCTTCTCCTCTGTAATGGCTGTACTAATTTGCATTCGTATCAGCAGTGTACCAGATGCAACCCTGGTTGACTCAGCAGAGCAAGAGACGTGCAGTAAGAGAGAATTTAGCTTATTTATGCACACGACACTTCCACTCACTCACTCGTTCAGCCAATGCCCCATGCTCTGGCTGTGCAGTGTGGAATCTTTTCCTATTGTTGCCATAACAAATTTCCACAAGCTTCGTGGATGAAAACATGTTTTTCTTAATTATCTCACAGTGCTGTAACTCAGAAGTATGAACTGCATTTCACTGGGCTGATATCAAAGGGACAGTAAGGCTGGATTTCTTTTTAAGGTTCCAAGCAAGAATCTGCTCCTTAACGTTTCCCAGCTCCTAGAGGCTCCCACGTTCCTGGGCCCCTGGTCCCCTTCCTCCTTCCTCCTTCCTCAAAGCCCACAAAGGCTGGTCACGTCTCACATGGCATCATTCAGACTCTTCTTCTTTACCCATACCTTTTTCTCTGAATCCTGCTCTGCCTTCTTCCTCATCTTTTAAGGACTTTGGGATTCTATTGGGGTCACCAAGATAATCCATCTCAATCTCCCTAAAATCATCCAGCGTACCCTCTTTTTAAGTTCAGCTGATTAGCAACCGTAATGCCATCTGCAATCTTCATTCCTCCTTTCCTGTAAAATAACATATTCACAAGCTATGGAGGCTAAGACAGGGACATTTTGGGGGTGGGGCAGCATTCTCCTGCCTTCCACAAATGGTAAACAGGATGCATTTGGCCTCTGCTCTTGGGACGCTGATATTGCAGATGGGTAAATGCGAGGGCAGAGAATGAATGCACAAGGGTACCAATAAATGAATGATCCATTGGGAAGCATCTGTGCACCAAATCTGGGGTTTTTTGTGTGTGTGTGTGTTTTTTGTTTTCTTTTTTTTTTTTGAGTAGAGTCTCTCTCTGTTCCACAGGCTGGAGTGCAGTAGCACAATCTCAGCTCATTGCAACCTCTGCCTCCTGGGTTCATGCAATTCTCCTGCCTCAGCCTACCGAGTAGCTGGGATTACAGCTGTGCGCCACCACACTCGGCTAATTTTTTTGGTATATTTTTTAGTAGAAATGAGGTTTCACCATGTTGTGCAGGCTGTCTCAAACTCCCAATCTCAAGTGATCCCACCGCCTTAGCGTCCCTAAGTGCAAAGATTACAGGCGAGAGCTACTGCGCCCAGCCAGGATTTAAAATAAGTAATAGATAATGCTGAGTATATAATTTCAGGTGACAGAGAAGGTCTCACTGATCAGATAATATTTGTGACCTTAATGGAAAAAATGGATTCAACCCTTGGAAGATTGGCGGAAGGATTTTCCACACTGAGCTCTCAGCCGTGAAGGCACAAAGGTGGAAACATTCTTAGTTCAAGGAAGAGGCTCTGCCTCAAATGCTGGGAATGAGATGGGGAGAATGACAAGACAACTGTAGAGAGATGGAGAGCACACTGGGTACACAGGAAACTAAGGAGGAACAAGGAGCATGTTTTTGATACTCACAGCCCTTGGATTCAACTCAGAGCTAACTAGGAATCCCTACCTGATTAACAGTGACCGACATGAAAATAAGGGAGGCCCAGGTGCGTAACTGGAATCTAGGAGACCGTGGAAAAGGCAATTCCCGCCCCACTGGTGAAACGTAGGGTTGATTTACACACTAAATGAATGAAAGATGGATATAAGCTATGCTTGTGAGGTAGAATCATTTGCAGGGAGGGCTTGCTGGGTTTGATTTTTCCTAGTAGTTTAATCCTTGTTTCATTAATTTCTTTCTGAGATGTGTTTTTTTTCTACATCTAAATCAATACCTGGCAGAGGAGCGATAGACACATGAGGGGTGGTGCAAATGAAGGGACCTAGTATAATATAATATACAAGACTGTGGATGGGGGCTCACACCTGTAACCCAACACTTTGGGAGGCCAAGGCGGGTAGATCACTTAAGGGTAGGAGTTTGAGACCAGCCTGGCCAACATGGTGAAACCCCGTCTGTACTAAAAATACAAAAATTAGCCTGGTGCATTGGCACCTGCCTGTAATCCCAGCGACTGGGGAGGCTGAAGCAGAAGAATGGCTTCAACCCTGGAGGCAGAGGTTGAACTGAGATCGCATCACTGCACTCCAGCCTGACACAGGGGGACTCTGTCTCAAAAAATAAAAATAAAACATACATAATTATGACACACAGAAATTACAAAGGCAACTGGATACCAACCATCATTTTTCTATTTCTCTGTGTTTAATTCTTTGACCCTTTATCTTATCCATTAAACAATCAGGTTAAACCTCTTCCTTATTTGGCTTTCTGTGAGCTTGGGATCATATGGAAAATGTGAAAGCCTCCTGAACCCACCAGCACAGGTCCTGGAATAGAGAACGTGCTCTGTTCATGGCATAAAACTTGCCCCTTCACCCAAATCCCCCAATTCATCTCTACTTCCAATCACCTATGGAGATACAGATAGATCATGGGGAGGTAAACACTAATACTCTTTGGAGTGAGCTCAGATCTTGGACTCAGAGACCAGTGCCAGCACTAGCCCCTGGTCACATTTCGTACTAACTCACAGAAGGACAGGCTGTATTGAAACAATAAACGACGGAGAGGGCGGTCCTTCCCCGTGCTTCTCGGGTGGAATAGCAGCCTAATATATGTCTCAGCAGATCACAAAAAGTAGCATGTTGTTCCTGGGCTACATCATTATTTCATGGCTGTTTGATTTAAGTCAGTTCTACTTCACTTTTTTTATCTTGATTTCATTTTTTCTTTCTTTTCTTGGAGAATGTAATTTTTTTGAGTCAAGAGGGTTGTGGTGGTAGAAACTGTAAAGCACATTCGCTGTGTATCAATCCCAATCCAGTCTTCCCAGAGAAGATTCTAAACACCTCCTGGAATGCACCTGGGCCTATACCAATTCCTATCACTCACCGTCACTCCAGGGAGACAGAACACACAGAGAACACATTACACAGGCAGGTTCATTACTAACAGATAAGCAGCGAGTGACAACAGAAACCTACATTTCAATGTGAGCCAGTCCCTCAAGGCTCAGAAAAGCTGCTCGAGACATGTGGAGTCACCCCATATGCAGTGTATCTGGGGGAAATCAAAAAGCAGCCCAGCCTGGGTTTTGTACCCTGGAGCCACAGGAAGCACTCAGCTAAAGCACTGCATGACGTCCTCCTCCAGGAAGAACAGGAAGACAGCCCAGGCTGTTCTGGGATGTTCCTCCTGATCTCAGGACGTTGCTGTCTTAGTCCATTTTTGTTGCTCTAAAGGAACACTTGAGCCTGGGTAACTTCTAAAGACAAGAAATGTGTTTGCCTCACAGTTCTGCAGGCTGTACTGGAAGCATGGCACCAGCATCTATTTCTTGTGACGGCCTCAGGCTGCTCCCACTCTGGCAGAAGGGAAGGAGGGTCTGTCTGTGCAGAGACCACAGAGATCACACGGCAAGAGAGGGACCAAGGGGGAGGGGGAGCGATGGAGCTTCCAAGCTCTTTTAACAACCAGTTCTCCAGGAACTAATAGAGGGGGAACTTGCTAACCCCGTCTCCTTGGAACAGCATTGATCTGTTCATGATGGATCCACCTCCATGACCCAAACAACTCCCAAGAGGCCCAACCTCCCACTCTGGGGGTTACATTTCAATGTGAGGTTTGAAGGGGTCAAACATCTAAACTAAAGCAGTTGTATCCTCAGCACGTTCTATGGTTACTACAACTGAGAAAGCAGGAGGAAGCTAGGTCTCCCGCCATCTGGGTGCTTGTCCTAAAGAGACGTTGTATGTGGTTACCTGTCAATCAAGAAATGTGAGACAATTCATATAGAGGAACTGCTATGATTAGCTTCTTATTGGTGTCTTGTCTTCCTCCAGGTAACTCCAGAAACCTGCACGTTCTGATTGGGACCTCAGTGGTCATCATCCCCTTTGCTATCCTCCTCTTCTTTCTCCTTCATCGCTGGTGTGCCAACAAAAAGAGTAAGTCTCACGAAGCAGAAGCCAGAGAGCTCAGGGCCATGTGGGGAAGCAGGATGGGAGCACTCAGGTGTGAGTTCCTCACAGACTGGATGGTCCCTGGCCCAAGGCAGGAGCCACAGAGGCAGGACTTTCTAGAGAGAGCACCAGACTCCCTGCCTCTGCCTTCAGCTCACAGACCATTGCCTGATTCTGAACCGTATCCTCACATCCCCTGCAGCCACTCACATCCAGGAGAAGGTTCCATGACAGGCAGAAAGTGGGACACAGAATCAATAGGATGGGAACTCAGAGCTATACATGGGATGGATCCTTGAGCTCAGAGAGATAGAATGTCTGAGTCTGCTGTTGGCAACTGAGGGACCTCAGGCACCTATGGCCTCCCCCTGTATGTTGGTATCTGCTTATGAAATGAGGACCCAGAAGTGCCCTCCGAGCTGTTTTGACGACTTCCGTCTTCTACAGATGCTGTTGTAATGGACCAGGAGCCTGCAGGGAACAGAACAGTGAACAGGGAGGTAGGTGCTCCTCCGCCCAGCCTCGTGGCTAGTCTTATTCCCAAAGAGTCCTGGAAAATGTGAGCACCCTCCCTCACTCAGCATTTCCCTCCCTCCAGGACTCTGATGAACAAGACCCTCAGGAGGTGACATACGCACAGTTGAATCACTGCGTTTTCACACAGAGAAAAATCACTCGCCCTTCTCAGAGGCCCAAGACACCCCCAACAGATACCAGCGTGTAACACGGAACTTCCAAATGCTGAGCGCAGATCCAAAGTTGTCTTCTGTCCACTAGCACCACAGTCAGGCCTTGATGGGATCTTCTAGGGAGACAATAGCCCTGTCTCAAAACCGGGTTGCCAGCTCCCATGTACCAGCAGCTGGACTCTGAAGGCGTGAGTCTGCATCTTAGGGCATCGCTCTTCCTCACACCACGAATCTGAACATGCCTCTCTCTTGCTTACAAATGTCTAAGGTCCCCACTGCCTGCTGGAGAGAAAACACACTTGCTTAGCCCACAATTCTCCATTTCACTTGACCCCTGCCCACCTCTCCAACCTAACTGGCTTACTTCCTAGTCTACTTGAGGCTGCGATCACACTGAGGAACTCACAATTCCAAACATATAAGAGGCTCCCTCTTAACACGGCACTTAGATACGTGCTATTCCACCTTTCCTCAGAGTATCTTTCAGCCTTCTGTCAGCAGTAAAACTTATAAATTTTTTTTATAATTTCAATGTAGTTTTCTATTCTTCAAGTAAACATGTCTGCCCTCATGGTTTCTTCAATGGGACTCTTTTCTTGCCTAAGGCTTCCGGTGTTATCATTACCACGTCCACATAACCCCATCTGTTCTCCGCTGGGTTCTCAGCCCTGGACTCTGAGCTTCTGGAAGCATGGTGGAGCCTGAATTGTCTCTGAGACTCCAATTTCCATCCAAAGATGCAGCACATAGGAGGTTCCAAGGATGGTGAATCAGATGAACAAGTGATATTCTTACTCTCTGCAGATCTGGAAAGCTGGCAGAGTCATTCCACGATGAAACATTTGTAGAGTCATAGGCCTTGTTAGTCTCATCTCCACAGGGACACGTATCAACACATCATCTTTCATACTACTATAAATAGACAGTCACTCCTCCATATCTCTGGGGTTTACACATGTTTATTGAATCAGCAATAAATCAAAAATATTTTGAGAAAAAAAATCCCCGAAGTTTCAAAAAGCAAAAAACTATGTTGAATCGACACAAATTGAGTGGCGTGTAGGCTGTGTCAGGAATTATAAGTAATCAAGAGATGATTTCATGTATACAGGAGGATGTGCATGGGTTCTATGCAATTGCTATGCTATTTTTTTTTTTTTTTTGAGACAGTCTCACTCTCTCACCCAGGCTGGAGTGCAGTGGCGTGATCTCAACTCACTGCAACCTCCGCCTTCCAGGTTCAAGCGATTCTCTTCCCTCAGCCTCCCCAGTAGCCTCCCCTAGGATTACAGGCACGTGCCACCCTGCACAGATAAATTTTTTTGTGTGTATATTTTTAGTAGAGATGGGGTTTCAGAATGTTGGACCAGCTGGTCTTGAACTCCTGACCTTGTGATCTACCCAGCTCAGCCTCCCAAAGTGCTGGGATTACAGGCGTGAGCCACGGTGCCCAGCTTCACTATGCCATTTCATGCAAGGGGCTTGAGCATCTGCAGATTTTGGTATCTGAATGGGGATCCTGGAACCAATCACCCAGGTATAGTGAAGGACCATGGTATATAATTTTTATTTGTCAATCTTAAAAATAAAGCATAAAAAATTTACAACAACAAGATAAAAAATAAGAAGTGTTTTTATAGTGTGAGGATAAGTTTAGATTTATTTTTTCCTACGTGTAACCCTATGGTCCTGTGTTATTTGTTGAGAAAATATTCTATTCCACCTTAAACTACATGGCAGCCTTTGTCAACTATAAAGGGACTGTGTATCCACAGATGTATTTTAGACACAGTTTTCTGTCCAGTGGTTCTCTGTATCCCCTCTCATGAGGATGCTGCATTTTATATAAACTTATAGAACCCCTTAAAATTTGGTAACCTGAGTCCTCTGATTTGTTATTATAGGTTATTTAGTTTGCTTTTTTTTTTTTTCTTGAGACAGACTCTTCCTCTGTCACCCAAGCTGGAGTTCAGTGGCTTGAGCTCAGCTCACTGCAACCTCCGTCTCCCAGGTTCAAGCTATTCTGATGCCTCTGGTTTAGTAGTAGAAACTCAAGCAGGAAAATTAGAATGGCTTCTTGTCACAATTACTCTGATAATGTTAATAATACCTGTTAGACATTTTGCACATTACATATGAAGAAGAGTTTGAATCTCAGATAAAAACAAAAATACATCAAAAATCTTTAATGTAAGCACAGAATTCAATCATCTCGTGTATGAGAGGTTGGATCTGAGACGTCTTTTGAGTCTGGTCGTAGTGAAGGACGCAAGGTGTCAATTCTAGTGAGAACAATTTCCAGGAAGCCATGTTCCGCTCTTGAGCGAGCACCCACTGGGCCTCATGCAAGGTAGAAAGAGCCTGCGTACGTCACCCTCCCATGATGTGGTCAACATGTAAACTGCATGGGCAGGGCGCCAAATAACATCCTGTGCGCTGCTGAGCTGAGCTGGGGCGCGGCCGCCTGTCTGCACAGACAGCACCATGTCGCTCATGGTCGTCAGCATGGTGTGTGTTGGTGAGTCCTGGAAGGGCATCGAGGGAGGGAGTGCGGGGATGGAGATCGGGGCCCAGAGTTGGAGATATAGGCCTGGAAGTGGAGTTATGGGCCTAGAGATGGAGTGATGGGCCTAGAAGTGGAGATCTGGGCCTGGAGTGGAGATCTGGGCCTGGAGTGGAGATATGGGCCTGGAGGTTGAGATATGGGCCTGCAGTAGAGATATGGGCTTGTAGTGGAGACATGGGCCTGGAGATGGAGATATGGGCCTGGAGATGGAGATATGGGCCTGCAGTAGAGATAGGGGCCTGGAGTGGAGATATGGGCCTGGAGTGGAGATATGGGCCTGGAGTGGAGATATGGGCCTGGAGGTGGAGATATGGGCCTGGAGGTGGAGATATGGGCCTGGAGTGGAGATATGGGTCTGGAGGTGGAGATACGGGCCTGCAGTAGAGATATGGGCCTGGAGTGGAGATATGGGCCAGGAGTGGAGTTATGGGCCTAGAGGTGGATATCTGGGCCTGGAGTGGAGATATGGGCCTAGGAAGGAGATATGGGCCTGGGTGTGGAGATATGGGACTGGAGAGGTGATATGGGCCTGGAGTGGAGATATGGGCTTAGGGTGGAGATCTGGGCCTGGGGCGGAGATATGGGACTGGATTGGAGATAGGGGCCTAGGGTGGAGATCTGAGCCTGGATTGGCGATATGGGCCTAGGGTGGAAATATCAGCCTGGAGTGGAGATATGGGCTTGGGGTGGGGATATGGGCCTGGAAACTGGGTCTCTGCACAGCCGACAGCCCTGTTCTTGGGTGCAGGTAGGCACTGAGGGTGAGTTTAACTTCAGCCCAGGAAGGGCCTGGCTGCCAAGACTCACAGCCCAGTGGGGGCAGCAAGGGAGGCCTGGTTTGCCTGCAGATGGATGGTCCATCATGATCTTTCTTTCCAGGGTTCTTCTTGCTGCAGGGGGCCTGGCCACATGAGGGTGAGTCCTTCTCCAAACCTTCGGGTGTCATCTCCCCACATAAGAGGATTTTCCTGAAACAGGAGGGAAGTCCTGTCGGGGAGTCTCTCATAAACTAGGAAGAGAGGACCCTGGGGTGCTCAGCCCACATTTCTGACCTCGCCTCCCTGGCCTCTCAACCCCTTGGCAGAGTCAAGTTCTGTGGGGACCAGGGTTAGACTGGGGTGCTCAAAGCTGGGGTGTGTGGTTGGGAAGTGGTAGGAACAGCAGATCCTCTGAGGACAAAGGTGTTACTCACACACTTCAGCGTTTCCATGATGGTAGGGGCTGCAGTGTGGCTGCTGTCATTCTACCAGAAGAGGTGGGAAACCACAGCCATGGCCCTGACATTCCAAATCCTCTGATGGGGGCTCAGTTGTTTATTTTCGTTCAGGCATCCGCTGATATCCATTCACAAAGGACATGCCCTCCACCTCATGTCTACCCTGTGTTGTTTTATGTGAGTAATCTTACAGTATTAAAATCTAGTAGGAGTCTCTTTACTCAGCACTTGCTCAAAGTTCTCAGCTGAGGCTTTTGTTGTAGGGAGACACCATGTCTTTGCGGGATGGGTCCTTCCTTCAGCCCTGGGCACCAAGGTGTGATAGTAGCCATAGAAACGTGGAAAGCGAGGAGAATCTTCTGAGCACAGGGAGGGAAGGGCAGTTCCACATCCTCCTCTCTAAGGCGGCGCCTCCTTCTCCCCAAGGTGGTCAGGACAAGCCCTTGCTGTCTGCCTGGCCCAGCCTTGTGGTGCCTCTAGGACATGTCATTCTTCGGTGTCACTCTTATCTTGGGTTTAACAACTTCAGTCTGTACAAGGAAGGTGGGGTGCCTGTCCCTGAGCTCTACAACAGAATATTCTGGAACAGCCTTTTCATGGGCCCTGTGACCCCCGCACACACAGGGACATACAGATGTCGGGGTTCACACACACACTCCCCCAGTGGGTGGTCAGCACCCAGCAACCCCCTGGTGATCGTGGTCATAGGTCAGAGGGCTCCTGTCTTGGATTCTCCTTGTCCCACCTCCTGAATCCCAGAGCTTCTGGTGGGCATGTCCTTGAGGGTCCCATCACGCAGGCCCTGACTGTATTTGTGGTAAAGGGGGATTGAATACAGGGAAATGGGTGCTGTGGTGGGAAGAATAATTGTCCCCAGTGATGACTACATTCTAATCCCTGGAGTCTGTGACTATTTATGTTATAGGGGAAGGGACTGAAGGGGAAGATGGAGCTCATGGGGAGACAGCCTGGACTGTCCCACTGGGCTCAGTGTAATCACAAGGGTGCACATGAAAGGAGGAGGAAGAGGGGAGTGGGGATTAGAGCAGTCCAGTGGAAGTCTTCACCAGCTTTGAAGGTGGAGGAAGGCCAAGAGCCATGAATGCAGGTGGCCTATAGAGGCTGGAAAAGTCAAGGAACTGATTCTCCAGAGTCTCCAGAGGGAACAAAGCCCTGCAGATGCCTTGATTTTAGCCCAGGAAAAATAGGGTCCAATTTCTGTCTCCAGTACTGGAAGGTGTCAGTGTGGTCTCTCCTGCTGCCATGCTTCTGATAATTTTCTACAGCAGCAACAGGAAACCAACACTGGAACCCAGGTCAAGGACAAGTTAAGAAACAACCCAAGGAAAGCCAGGCATGGTGGCAGGTGCATGTAATCCTAGCGACTCAGGAGGCTGAGGGCAGGAGAATCACTTGAACCCAGGAGACAGAGGTTGCAGTGAGCCTAGACCACACCACTTCACTCCAGCCTGGGTGAAGGAGTGAGACTCTGTCTCCAAAATTAATTAATTAATTAAAGAAACCAAACAAGGAGAAGGTTGGCTACCCTGAGATCAGCAAGGGTGGGATGATGATGCCACCACCAGGCTCCATCCACATAGGGAGGGGTTGATACTCCTCCAACCAGCACCAGGAGCCAGCCTATGGAAGCTGGCACCATGGAGAAGGCACAGGCATGGCAAGAGTGGCTCCCAGTCCCCACCAGGAACAGGGTGTGTGGACACTGGTGCCTGCCTTATTCATCAGTTCATACCTTCTGCCAAGGATTGCAATTCATCCAAAAGAGATTGAACCAGGCTGATAAGAGCCTGGATGTGCAGCCTATCCTGGTTCCTCTTTCACCCCCACATAAACAGCAGGAAATACATTAGTGTGAAATAGATACAACACCCCAAGAGATGAGGCTAAGCCCAGTGGGAAGGGAATCAGAGGCTACTAGAGACAGAGGGACAGAGAAGAGGGAGGGAGACAGATGGAAGGACCTGCACCAGGAGTTAAGGGCACAGAAAAGAACATGAAGACACAGAGAGGAAGGAGAGAGACAGACACCAGCAAGGGGAAGCCTCACTCATTCTAGGTGCCATGGATGGGATGATAAAGAGAGACACCTTCTAAACTCACAACCTCTCTTCCTAGGAGTCCACAGAAAACCTTCCCTCCTGGCCCACCCAGGTCCCCTGGTGAAATCAGAAGAGACAGTCATCCTGCAATGTTGGTCAGATGTCAGGTTTCAGCACTTCCTTCTGCACAGAGAAGGGAAGTTTAAGGACACTTTGCACCTCATTGGAGAGCACCATGATGGGGTCTCCAAGGCCAACTTCTCCATCGGTCCCATGATGCAAGACCTTGCAGGGACCTACAGATGCTACGGTTCTGTTACTCACTCCCCCTATCAGTTGTCAGCTCCCAGTGACCCTCTGGACATCGTCATCACAGGTGAGAGTGTCCGGACATTCTCATTGTCATTGGGATGCAGAGTGAATGATCCACGACTTGGAACCCCCAGGTAGTTGTAAGGAAGATGAGCTTGGTATTCTTATGGAGAGAGACTGACTTGCTGAGGTTTGTACCAACAGAGACAGAGAAACAGGAGACACAAGTACAGACCAGGTGTCATAACAGAGGACAGACACAGGGGCCATACAGGGAGTTAGAAAAGACAGAAAGAGTTAAAAGAGACAGACAGACAGACATGTCCCAGAGAGAGGTGTCCCTCCATGCTGACTTTGCTCACAGACCTGGCACAGGTTAGAAGTTTCATTTCTGTTTTACCTCCACAAAGTGTTCTCTACCAGGAGAACCCAAGGACACCCATATTTATGACCTGAGTTGGGCCCTGTGGCCTCAGGCCTTGTGGCACCTACAGGCCATGTTTATTCTGACACCTCTGCCTTCCATGTAATGGAGAGTAATCGTCCCAGGATATCATGGCCCCAGAACACCAACCCCTGTATGCTGTGTGAACTTGTGGTCTCCAGACTGGATTCTGTGGCTCACATTCCAAATAACCCCACATATGAAAGGATCACTGAGAGGCACAGAGAAAAATCAGGAACACCAAAAAGCAAAGACATAAACACACAGAGAATGAGCCAGAGGAAGGAGATTGAGAGACTCACAGACACATAAAGAGAGAGAAAAGAGGGCAGAGGAGTGGTGAGAATGATGGCAGGGAGCAGAGAAAAGCACTAAAATTAGAGTCCTGAGAGAGAGGCACAAGGACATAGAAACATGGAGATGTGGGGATGAATTGCAGAGATTCCAAAGAGAGCTAGAGAGACCGAGAGGCAGAGCAAGACAGATGATAGATGGATAGATATAGATAGATGATAAATAGGTAGATGATAGATAATAGGTTAAAGATACATAGATGATGATTGATTGATTCATTAATAGATAATACATAGAGATGATGATGATGAAGACAGATAATACGTACAGATAGAGAGGCAGACAGAAATCATAGAGAGAGAGATGATACATACATATAAATAACAGATGATTGATGGATAGATAGACAAGTGATAGATACATAGATGATATATAGATATAGATGACAGGTAGAGAATTTGTAGATAGACACCGAATAGATAAATAGATAGATCGACAGATAATAGATAGAAATATGCAGAAAGTTATGAACAGGACACAACGTGAGAAACTTAGAATTTAAAAAAGTAACATCAAGTCAACCAATCCAAGGAGAGTCAGAGAGAATAAAAGAATCCAAAAAGGGAAAACATATCTAGAGGTGGGGAAGCGAGGTCAGAGACCTAGAGAGACAGAGAAGGTGGAAGAAGGAAATAGACATGAAGAGAGATGGGGTGGAGGGTGAGAGAGAGAGAGAGAGAGCATTAGGTCATAGAGCAGGGGAGTGAGTTCTCAGCTCAGGTGAAGGGAGCTGTGACAAGGAAGATCCTCCGTAAGGAAAATGCCTCTTCTCCTCCAGGTCTATATGAGAAACCTTCTCTCTCAGCCCAGCCGGGCCCCACGGTTCTGGCAGGAGAGAGCGTGACCTTGTCCTGCAGCTCCCGGAGCTCCTATGACATGTACCATCTATCCAGGGAGGGGGAGGCCCATGAACGTAGGTTCTCTGCAGGGCCCAAGGTCAACGGAACATTCCAGGCCGACTTTCCTCTGGGCCCTGCCACCCACGGAGGAACCTACAGATGCTTCGGCTCTTTCCGTGACTCTCCATACGAGTGGTCAAACTCGAGTGACCCACTGCTTGTTTCTGTCACAGGTGAGGAAACCCCATATCTGTCTCATGTCCTATGATCCTAGAGCCTTAGCTGAGGAGCTTCCTGCTGATGATGGAGAGAAGCATGGACAGATGCAGAGAGAAGACGAAGCTTGGGTGTGAGGGAGGGATCAGGGCACAGGATGGCAGACAGGGCACCTCCAAACCCTCCTACACGGCCTGCATGAAGGCCCGCGGCCAGGGCTCCAGGCACACAGGCAGATGGAGAAAACGGTCAGGAGAGACGCAGAGGAGAGAGACTGGGCTCAGTTTGGGAAGATCAGAGGTTCCCTCAGCCCCTCAACATTACCCATTTCCCAGAAGCCCATCCTGGCCTCTCACCCACACAGGGATGTCATCACCAGCAACCCCTACACCCTTTACTTTTGTTTGAAGAAATATTTATTGAGGATAAATATACCTATATAGCTTACCACCTTTAACATTTTTTTTTTTTTTGAGGCAGAGTCTAGCTCTGTCCCCTATGCTGGAGTGCAGTGGCACAATCTCAGCTCACTGCAACTTCCGCCTCCTGGGTTCAAGTGATTCTCCTGCCTCAGCCACCTGAGTAGCTGGTGCTACAGGCGCGCACCACCACGCCAGGCTACTTTTTGTATTTTTAGTAGAGAGGGGGTTTCACCATGTTGGTCGAGCTGGTCTCCAACTCCTGACCACGTGATCCACCCGCATCTGCCTCCCAAAGTGCTGGGATTACAGGCATGAGCCACCACGCCCAGCCACATTTACCATTTTTAAGTGTAAAGTCTAGTGGTCATAAATACATTTATATATATATATATATATATATATATATATATATATATACACACACACACACATATATACATATATATATATATATATATATATATATATATATTTTTTTTTTTTTTTTTTTTTTTTTTTTTTACCCTCCACCCTTTTATTCCTGGCCTCTGGAAGCCACCATTCTACTCTCTACCTTCATGAGATCCACCTTTTAGCTCTGTATATGGGTGAGAAATGGGAATCTTTGTAATGACTTCCAGTTCCATCCATGTGGCTGCAAATATCAGGATGTTATTCTTTCTATGGATGAGTAGTCTCCACTGTGCGTATGTACTACATTCTCTCTATCCATTCATCCACTGATGGGCAGGTAGGTTGACTCCACATCTTGGCTACTGTGAACAGTGCTGCACCAATCATACGAGTGCAGATATCACTTCGATATATTGATTTACTTTCCTTTGGATATAAACCCAGTAGTGAAATTGCTGGATACTATGAAAGTTCTCTTTTTAGTTATTCGTTTGTTGTTTTGTTTTTGTTTTTGAGACAGTTTCCCTCTGTGCCCAGGCTGGAGTACAAGTGAAGTCATCTTGGCTCATTGCAACCTCCGCCTCCTGGGTTCAAATGATTTTCCTGCCTCAGCCTCCCTAGTAGCTGGGATTACAGGTGCACGCCACCATGCCTGGCTACTTTTTGTTTTTTTTAGTATAGATGCGGTTTCCCCATGTTGGCTGGGCTGCTCTCAAACTCATGACCTCAACTGAGGTGCCCGCCTCGGTCTCCCAAAGTGCCGGGATTACAGGCATGATCCACCTCACCCAACCTCTTTTTAGTTCTTTAAAGGACTTCCACACTTTTCTCCGTAAAGGCTGTACTAATTTACACTCCTACCAACAGGGTATTAGGGTTCTCCTTTCTCTACCACTTTGGCAGGATTTCCTTTGCCTGTCTTGCAGCTAAAAGCCATTTTATTTTATTTCATTTTATTTTGAGATGGAGTTTCGCTCTTGTCACCCAGGCTGGAGTGCAGTGGTGCGATCTCGGCTCACCACAACCTCCACCTCCCAGGTTCAAGCGATTCTCCTGCCTCAGCCTCCCGAGTAGCTGGAATTACAGGCACACGCCACCACGCCCAACTAAATTTTGTATTTTTAGTAGAGACAGTGTTTCTCCATGTGGGTCAGACTGGTCTCAAACTCCCGACCTTATGAGATTCACCCACCTCAGGCTCTCAAAGGTCTAGGATGACAGACGTGAGCCACCACGCCCGGCCTAAAATCCATTTTAATGGGGTGAGATGAAAACTCACTTTGATTTTAATTTGTGTTTCTCTGATGATGAGTGAAACTGAGCACTTTTTAGTATGTGGGGAAATTTCATGTGTTTTGCTCCTTTTTCAATTAAATCATTTGTTTTATTGAGTTGTTTGAGCTTCTTATATTTCTAGTTATTAATCCCATCTCAGATGCATAGTTTGCACATATTTGCTCCCAATCTGTGGGTTGTCTCTTCACTTTGTTGGTTTATTTTTAGCGGTGCAGAAGTTGCTTAGTTTGAGGTAATCCCAATGGTCTATTTTTGCTTCGATTACTTGTGTTTTGAAGGTTTAAAACAAAATGTCTTCCTTCAGACAAATGTCCTGGAGCATTTCCCCAATATTTTCTTCTACGTGTTTCATAGGTTCAGGCCTTAGACTCACATCTTTAATCCATTTTCATTTGAGTTTTGTGTATAGTGACAGGTAGAGGTGCAGTTTCATTCCTCTGCATGTAGATGTCCAGGTTTCCCTGCACTGTTTATTGAAAAGACTGTCCTTTCCTGATTGTGAGTTCTTGGCACCTTTGTCAAAGTCCATTGGATGGGCTGGGCATGGTGGCTGACACCTGCAATTTCAGCACTTTGGGAGCCCAAGGCGGGTGGATCACCTGAGGCCAGGAGTTCAAGATTAGTCTGGCCGACGTGATGAAACATTGTCTCCACTAAAAATATAAAAATTAGCTGAGCATGGTGGTCAGCACCTGTAATACCACTACTCAGGAGTTTGAGGCCAGAGAATTGATTGAACCCAGGAGGCTGTGGTGGCAGTGAACCGAGATTGCACCTCTGCACTCCAGCCTGGGCGACAGAGCGAGACTCCATCTCAAAAGAAAAAAGAAAAAAACATTGGAGGTAAATGCATGGATTATATCTGTGTTCTTCATTCTGCTCCATTGTTCTACGTGCCTTTCTTTATGCCAATGTGATGCTGTTTTGCTTACTACAGCTCTGTAACATATTTTGAGATCAGGTAGTGTGATGCTCCTGTTTTCTCTTTATACCTTGAAGTCTCAAGACAGTGGGCGTCACATACAAAAATTACGGAAAAAAGGATCCCAGGACTCCCAGGGCCCAATATTAGATAACAGAGTGTTGGCCATGAACCAACCTCAAAGATTTCCATTGAGTAGAGGACAGACACCCTCATTTCCTCACCTCTCTCCTGTCTCATGTTCTAGGAAACCCTTCAAATAGTTGGCTTTCACCCACTGAACCAAGCTCCGAAACCGGTGAGTACAGAACCCTCTTATATCCGCTTTTGGAAACCTGGGGAGGTAGAAACCTTCGATGCAGGCATTGACTCAGCATCTCGCAGCTCTGACATTGTACGCCTGTCTTCTACCATCTCCGAACTCCAGATACTCCAACAGCGAAAGGGATCTGGGCCCAACCTAGGGCTCAGTGAAATCTCTTAATCTCTCATTTTATGGAGCTGAGATCTCCTACAAGCTAGAAGAATGATTGCCAATCTGACATCCTTCTCAGGAAAAATGCAATGTTTGTTCTGCCTGCATTCCTAACTGGAGGATAAATTCCTGGGGGCTTGAGAGAGGGAAGGGAAGGGAACATCTGATGAGGGCGAGGTGTTTTAGAGAAGTTCCACTTGCCAAGGAATGAATTACTGTTGGTCATGAAGCAACCCTGGCTGACTCAGCAGAGCAACAGCCTTGCCGTAACAGAGAACGGAGCTCATGCACGCACACTTCGACTCACTGACTCATTCAGCCACGGCCCCATGCTCAGGCTGTGCAGTGCGGAACCTTTTCCTATTGTTGCCATAACAAATTTCCACAAGATTCGTGGGTGAAAACAAAACGGTTTTTTAATTATCTTACAGTGCTGTAGCTCAAAGTAGGAAGTGCATCTTACTGGGCTAAAATCAAGGTGACAGCAAGGCTGCCTTCCCTCTGAGGATTCCAGGCAAGAATCTGCTTCTCACTTATCCCAGCTTCTAAAGGCTCCCAGTTCCTTGGCTCCTGTTCCCCTTCCTCCTTCCTCAAAGCCCACAAAGACTGGTCACATCTCACATGGCATCACTCAGTGCCTTCTTCCTTACCACACCTCTTTCTCTGAATGCTGCTCTCCCTTCTTCCTTATCTTTTGAAAACTTGGGGATTCTATTGGGTTCACCAAGATGAAAATCCCTCATAATCTCCTGGAAATCATCCAGGATACCCTTGTTTTAAGTTCAGCTGATTAGCAACCGCAATTCCATCTACAATCTTCATTCCTCCTTTCCATGTAAAATAACATATTCACAAGCTATGGAGGCTAGGACAGGGACATTTTGGGGTGGGACAGCATTCTCCTGCCTTCCACAAACGGTGAACAAGATGCATTTGGCCTCTGCCCTTGGGACACTGATATTGCAGATGGTTAAATGGGAGGGCAGAAAATGAATGCACAAGTGGATCTATAAATGAATGATCCATTGGGAAGCATCTGTGCATGAAATCTATTTTTTGTTTGTTCTTTTGTTTATTGAGACAGAGTCGCCCTCTGTCTTCCAGGCTACAGTGCAGTGTCACGATCTTGGCTCACTGCAACCTGCGTCTCCTGGATTCAAGTGATTCTCCTGCCTCCGCCTCTCGAGTAGCTGGGATTACAGGCAACTGCCACCGTGCCCGGCTAATTCTTTTTGTATATTTTTTGTAGAAAGGATGTTTCACCACGTTGGCCAAGCTTGTCTGAAACTCCCAACCTCAAGTGATCCGACCGTCTCAGCATGCCAAAGTAATGGGACTACAGGCGTGAGCCACTGTGCCCAGCCAGAATTCAAAATCAATAATAGATAATGCTGAGTGTATGATTTCAGGTGACAAAGAAGGTCTCTCTATTCAGATATTTGTGACATTAATGAAAAACACGGATTGAACCCCTGAAAGATTGGCGGAAGGATTTTGCACACACAGCTGTCAGCCGTGAAGGCACAAAGGTGAAAACAATCTGATGTGGAAGGAAGAGGCTCTGCCTCAAATGCTGGGAATGAGGTGGGGAGAATGACAAGACGACTGTAGGGAGACGGAGAGCACACTGGGTACACAGGAAACTAAGGAGCAACAAGGAGTGTGTGTTTGACACTCACAGCCATTGGATTCACCTCGGGGTAACCAGGAATCCCTACATGATTAATATGACGGACATGAAAATAAGGGAGGCTCAGTTGCATAACTGGAATCTAGGAGACCGTGGAAAAGGCAATTGCCGCCCCACTGGTGAAATGTGGTGCTGATTTAGACACTAAATGAATGAAGTAGATGGATATAAGATATGTTTGTGAGGTAGAATCGTTGACTGGAAAGGCTTACTGGGTTTGATTTTCCTACTTGTTTAATCCTCGCTTAATTAATTTCTTTCTGAGATTTATTCATCCTACACATAAATCAATACCTGGCAAAGGAGTGACAGATATATGAGTGGTGGTGGAAATGAAGAGACTTATTATAGCATAATATACAAGTCTGTGAACAGTGGCTCACGCCTGTAACCTAGCACTGCAGGAGGCCAAGGTGGGTGGATTCCATGAAGTCAGGAGTTCCAGACCAGCCTGGCCAACGTGGTGAAACCCTATCTCTACTAAAAATACAAAAATTAGCCGAGCA
Organism: Homo sapiens; assembly: GCF_000001405.40. Taxonomy (NCBI): domain Eukaryota; kingdom Metazoa; phylum Chordata; class Mammalia; order Primates; family Hominidae; genus Homo; species Homo sapiens. Next base: position 655,419 of record NW_003571054.1, read on the forward strand.
CGATGGTGCATCCCTGTAATCCCAGCTCCTATTCTGGAGGATGAAGCAGGAGAACGACTTCAACCCAGTAGGTGGAGGTTGCAGTGAGTGGAGATTGCATCACTGCACTCCAGCCTGGGGGACACAAGGAGACTCTATCTCAAAAAATAAAAATAAGAAATACATAAATATAATAAAACACACACGAATGACAAAGGCACCTGAATTCCAATCATCGTTTTTCTATTTCTCTATAATTACTTCTTTGATCCTTTATCTTATCCATTAGGCAATGAGCTTAAAACCTCTTCCCTATTTGGCTTTCTGTGAGAATGAGATCACATAGAAAATGTGAAAGCCCTCAGAATCCTCCAGCACAGATCGTGGAATAGAGAAAGTGCTCTGTTCATCGCAACAAAAAACTTGCCCACTCACCCAAATCCCCCACCTCACCCCTACTTCCAATCACCTGTGGAGATTCAGATAGGCTATGGGGAGGTAAACATTGATACTCCTTGGAGTGAGTCCAGATCTTGGAATCAGAGATCAGTGCCAGCACTAGCTCCTGCTCCCCTTTCCTACTAATTCACAGGAGGACAGGTGGTATTGAAGCAATAGATGGCCGAGGGGGTGGTCCTTCCCCCAGCCTCTCGGGTAGAACAGCAGCCTAACATGTGTCTCCCGAGATCACAAAGAGTAGCACGTTTCACACGGGCTTCAACACTATTTCCTGGCCATTTGACATAAGAGAATTCTACTTAGCTTTTTTTATCTTGATTTCACTTTTGTTTCCTTTTCTTGGAGAATGCAAGTTGTTTGATTCAAGAATGCTGTGGATGTAGAAATCCTAAAGCACATTCGCTGTGTATCAATCCCAGTGCAGTCTTCCCAGAGAAGACTCTAAATACCTCCTGGACTGCACCTGGGCTTATGCCAATTCCTATCACTCACCGTCACTCCAGGGAGACAGAACACACAGAGAATACATTACACAGGCAGGTTCATTACTAACAGATAAGCAGCGAGTGACAACAGAAACCTACATTTCAATGTGAGCCAGTCCCTCAAGGCTCAGAAAAGCTCCTCGGGACATATGGAGTCACCCCATTTGCAGTGTAGCTGGGGGAAGCCAGAGAGCAGCCCAGCCTGGGTTTTGTACTGTGGAGCCACAGGAAGCACTCAGCTAAAGCACTGCATGACGTCCTCCTCCAGGAAGAACAGGAAGACAGCCCAGGCTGTTCTGAGACGTTCCTCCTGATCTCAGGACGTTGCTGTCTTAGTCCATTTTTGTTGCTCTAAAGGAACACTTGAGCCTGGGTAACTTCTAGAGAAAAGAGATTGGTTTGCCTCACAGTTCTGCAGGCTATACTGGAAGCGTGGCACCAGCATCTATTTCTCGTGACGGCCTCAGGCTGCTCCCACTCTGGCAGAAGGGAAGGAGGGTCTGTCTGTGCAGAGACCACAGAGATCACACGGCAAGAGAGGGAGCAAGGGGGAGGGGGAGCGATGGAGCTTCCAAGCTCTTTTGAACAACCAGCTCTCCAGGAACTAATAGAAGGGGAACTTGCTAACCCCGTCTCCTTGGGACAGCATTGGTCTGTTCATGATGGATCCACCTCCATGACCCAAACACCTCTCAAGAGGCCCAACCTCCCACAGTGGGGGTGAAATTTCAATGTGAGGTTTGAAGGGGTCAAACATCTCAACTAAAGTAGTTGTATCCTCAACACGTTCTATGGTTACTATGAGAGCTATAACTGAGAAAGCAGGAGAAAGCTGGGTCTCCCTCCATCTGGGTGCTTGTCCTAAAGGGGTGTTGTATGTGGTTACCTGTCAATCAAGAAATGTGAGACAATTCATAAAGAGGAACTGCTATGATTAGCTTCTTATTGGTGTCTCCTCTTCTTCCAGGTAACCCCAGACACCTGCATGTTCTGATTGGGACCTCAGTGGTCATCATCCTCTTCATCCTCCTCCTCTTCTTTCTCCTTCATCGCTGGTGCTGCAACAAAAAAAGTAAGTCTCACGAAGCAGAGGCCAGAGAGCTCAGGGCCATGTGGGGAAGCAGGATGGGAGCACTCAGGTGTGTGTTCCTCACAGACAGGATGGTCCCTGGCCCAAGGCAGCAGCCACAGAGGGAGGACTTTCTAGAGAGAGCACCAGACTCCCTGTCCCTGCCTTCAGCTCACAGACCATTGCCTGATTCTGAACTGTATCCTCATGTCCCCTGCAGCCACTCACATCCAGGAGAAGGTTCCATGACAGGCAGAAAGTGGGAGACAGAATCAATGGGATGGGAACTCAGAGCTATTCATGGGATGGGTCCTTGAGCTCAGAGAGATAGAATGTCTGAGTCTGCTGTTGGCAACTGAGGGACCTCAGGCTCCTATGGTCTCCCCCTGTATGTTGGTATCTGCTTATGAAATGAGGGCCCAGAAGTGCCCTCTGAGCTGTTTTGTTGACTTCCGTCTTCTACAGATGCTGTTGTAATGGACCAAGAGCCTGCAGGGAACAGAACAGTGAACAGGGAGGTAGGTGCTCCTCGGCCCAGCCTCGTGGCTAGTGTTATTCCCAAAGAGTCCTGGAAAATGTGAGCACCCTCCCTCACTCAGGATTTCCCTCTCTCCAGGACTCTGATGAACAAGACCCTCAGGAGGTGACATATGCACAGTTGAATCACTGCGTTTTCACACAGAGAAAAATCACTCACCCTTCTCAGAGGCCCAAGACACCCCCAACAGATATCATCGTGTACACGGAACTTCCAAATGCTGAGCCCTGATCCAAAGTTGTCTCCTGCCCATGAGCACCACAGTCAGGCCTTGAGGGGATCTTCTAGGGAGACAACAGCCCTGTCTCAAAACTGGGTTGCCAGCTCCAATGTACCAGCAGCTGGAATCTGAAGGCGTGAGTCTGCATCTTAGGGCATCGCTCTTCCTCACACCACAAATCTGAACGTGCCTCTCTCTTGCTTACAAATGTCTAAGGTCCCCACTGCCTGCTGGAGAGAAAACACACTCCTTTGCTTAGCCCACAATTCTCCATTTCACTTGACCCCTGCCCACCTCTCCAACCTAACTGGCTTACTTCCTAGTCTACTTGAGGCTGCAATCACACTGAGGAACTCACAATTCCAAACATACAAGAGGCTCCCTCTTAACACGGCACTTAGACACGTGCTGTTCCACCTTCCCTCATGCTGTTCCACCTCCCCTCAGACTAGCTTTCAGCCTTCTGTCAGCAGTAAAACTTATATATTTTTTAAAATAATTTCAATGTAGTTTTCCCTCCTTCAAATAAACATGTCTGCCCTCATGGTTTAGGTAATGGGACTCTTTTCTTGCCTAAGGCTTCCGGTGTTATCAGTACCATGTCCATATAATCCCATCTGTTCTCCACGGGGTTCTCACCTCTGGACTCTGAGCTTCTGGAAGCAGTGTGGAGCCTCATTTGTCTCTGGGACTCCAATTTCCATCCAAAGATGCAGCACATAGGAGGTTCCAAGGATCGGGAATCACATGAACAAGTGACATTGTTACTCTCTGCAGACCTGGAAAGCTGGCAGAGTCATTCCACAATGAAACATTTGTAGAGTCATAGGCCTTGTTAGTCTCATCTCCATGGGGACACATATCAACACATCATCTTTCATACTATAAATATACGGTCACTCCTCCGTATCTGTGGGGTTTACAGGTCTTTATTGAACAAAGTATAAATCAAAAATATTCAGAGAAAATATCCACAGAGTTCCAAAACTCATAACTATGTTGAATGGACACAAATGAAGCTGTGTGTAGGCTGTATCAGGAATTATAAGTAATCAAGAGATGATTTCATGTATACAGGAGGATGTGCATATGTTATTTGCAAGCGCTGTGCCATTTCATATAAGAGGCTTGAGCATCTACAGATTTTGGTATCTGAGTGGAGATCTCGAAACCAATCACCCACGAATAGTGAAGGATGACCGTATATGACTTTTATTTCTCAAATTTAAATATAAATCAAAAAATGTACAACTAGATAAAAACTAAGAAGTGTTTTTATAGTGTGAGTTAGATTTATTTTTTACTAGGTGTAACCCATTGGTTTAATATTATTTATTGAGAAGACATTCTATGCCACCTTAAACCACACGGCAGCCTTTGTCAACTCTAAAGGGACTGTGTGTACATGGATGTATTTTAGACAGTTTCTGCTAAGGGGCTGTCTGTGTCCACACTCTTGATGATGCTACACTTTATGTAGCCTTATAGAACCCTTTAAATTTAGTAGCCAGAGCCCTCTAATTTGTTATTATAGGCTATTTGCTTTTTTTTTTCTTGAGGCAGAGTCTTGCTCTGTCGCCCAGGCTGGACTGCAGTGGTGCAATCTCAGCTCACTGCAACCTCCGCCTCCCAGGTTCAAGCGATTCTCGTGCCTCAGCCTCTTGGGTAGCTGGCGTTACAAGTTCCTGCCACTGGGCACGGCTAATTTTTGGATTTTTAGCAGAGACACGGTTTCACTGTGTTGCCAGGCTGCTCTCAAACTCCTTATATCAGTTGATCCGCCCACCTCGGCTTCCCGACGTGCTGGGGGAAACTTGATTTTCTATAGCATTATGTTACTGGATATTTCTGTAAAATTTAAAATGAGGGAGGCAGAGAGACAGAGAGAGAACAAACTCCAGAGTTGGGACTCTGGAAACTTGGGTCATGAGACAAATTTTAGATAAATCTACAAAAATCCAGAGTTTAAATGTGTGGTTTTTGCTGATAACGTACAATTCAAAGATTGTAAATAATTGCATAATCCTTCCCTGGGAATTTAAATCATTTTAACTGGTTCTGCTGTAATACTAGAAATACAAGCATGAAAAATTCTAATGGTTTATTAGTCACAATGACTCTGAAAACCTTAATAATACCTATTAGATATTTTGCATATTACACATGAAGAAGAGTTTGAATCTCAGATAAAAACAATAAAAATACATGAAAAGTCTTTCACGTTAGCACAGATTTTAGGCATCTCGTGTTCAGGAGGTTGGATCTGAGACGTGTTTTGAGTTGGTCATAGTGAAGGACGCTAGGTGTAAATTCTAGTGAGAACAATTTCCAGGAAGCCGTGTTCCGCTCTTGAGCGAGCACCCACTGGGCCTCATGCAAGGTAGAATGAGCCTGCGTACGTCACCCTCCCATGATGTGGTCAACATGTAAACTGCATGGGCAGGGCGCCAAATAACATCCTGTGCGCTGCTGAGCTGAGCTGGGGCGCGGCCGCCTGTCTGCACCGGCAGCACCATGTCGCTCACGGTCGTCAGCGTGGCGTGTGTTGGTGAGTCCTGGAAGGGAATAGAGGAAGGGAGTGTGGGGTTGGAGATCTGGGCCCAGAGGTGGAGATATAGGCCTGGAGGTGGAGTTGTGGGCCTGGAGTGGAGATCTGGGCCTGGAGTGGATATATGGGCCTAGAGATGGAGTGATGGGCCTAGAAGTGGAGATCTGGGCCTGGAGTGCCGATAGGAACCTGGAGGGGAGATAGGAGCCTGGAGTGGAGACATGGGCCTGGAGGTGGAGTTATAGGCCTATAGTAGAGATATGGGCCTGGAGTGGAGATTTGGGCCAGGAGTGGAGATATGGGCCTAGAGGTGGATATCTGGGCCTAGAGTGGAAATATGGGCCTAGGATGGAGATATGGGCCTGGTTGTGGAGATATGGGACTGGAGAGGAGATATGGGCCTAGAGTGGAGATATGGGCTTGGGGTGGAGATCTGGGCCTGGGGTGGAGATATGGGCCTGGAGGTGGAGTTACGGGCCTTCAGTAGAGATATGGGCCTGGGGTGGAGATATGGGCTTGGGGTGGAGATCTGGGCCTGGAGTGGAGATATGGGCCTGGAGGTGGAGTTACTGGCCTTCAGTAGAGATATGGGCCTGGTGTGGAGATATGGGCCTGGATTGGAGATATGGGCCTAGGGTGGAGATCTGAGCCTGGGGTGGAGATATGGGCCTGGATTGGAGATATGGGCTTACAGTGGAGATCTTGGCCTGGATTGGCGATATGGGCCTGGATTGGCGATATGGGCCTATGATGGAAATATCGGCCTGGAGTGGAGATATGGGCCTGGAGTGGAGATACAGGCCTAGGGTGGAAATATTGGCCTGGAGTGGAGATATGGGCTTGTGGTGGGGATATGGGCTTGTGGTGGGGATCTGGGCTTGGAGGCTGGGTCTCTGCACAGCCGACAGCCCTGTTCTTGGGTGCAGGTAGGCACTGAGGGTGAGTTTAACTTCAGTCCAGGAAGGGCCTGCCTACCAAGACTCACAGCCCAGTGAGGGCAGCAAGGGTGCCCTGGTTTGCCTGCAGATGGATCGTCCATCATGATCTTTCTTTCCAGGGTTCTTCTTGCTGCAGGGGGCCTGGCCACATGAGGGTGAGTCCTTCTCCAAACCTTCGGGTGTCATCTCCCCACATAAGAGGATTTTCCTGAAACAGGAGGGAAGTCCTGTCAGGGAGCCTCTCATAAACTAGGAAGAGGGGACCCTGGGGTGCTCGGCCCACAGTTCCGACCTCGCCTCCCTGGCCTTTCATTCCCTTGGCAGAGTCAAGTTCTGTGGGGACCAGGGTTAGACTGGGGTGCTCAAAGCTGGGGTGCGTGGTGGGGAAGTGGTAGGAACAGCAGATCCTCTGAGGACAAAGGTGTTACTCACACTTCAGCGTTTCCATGACGGTAGGGGCTGCAGTGTGGCTGCTGTCACTCCACCAGAAGAGGTGGGAAACCACAGCCATGGCCCTGACATTCCAAATCCTCTGATGGGGGCTCAGTTGCTTATTTTCATTCAGGCATCTGCTGATATTCCATTCTCAAAGACATGCCCTCCACCCCATGTCTACCCTGTGTTGTTTTATGTGAGTAATCTTACAGTATTAAAATCTAGTAGGAGTCTCTTACTCAGCACTTGCTCAAAGTTCTCAGCTGACACTTTTGTTGTAGGGAGACACCTTGTGTTTGCGGGATGGGTCCTTCCTTTAGCCCTGGGCACCAAGGTGTGATAGCAGCCATAGAAACTTGGAAAGCGAGGAGAATCTTCAGAGCACAGGGAGGGAGGGGTGGCTCCACATCCTCCTCTCTAAGGCGGTGCCTCCTTCTCCCCAAGGTGGTCAGGACAAGCCCTTGCTGTCTGCCTGGCCCAGCTCTGTGGTGCCTCCAGGACATGTGATTCTTCGGTGTCATTCTTATCTTGGGTTTAACAACTTCAGTCTGTAAAAGGAAGATGGGGTGCCTGGCACTGAGCTCTACAACAGAATATTCTGGAAGAGCCTTTTCATGGGCCCTGTGACCCCAGCACACACAGGGACGTACAGATGTCGGGGTTCACACCCACACTACCCCAGTGGGTGGTCGGCACCCAGCAACACCCTGGTGATCATGGCCACAGGTCAGAGGGCTCCTGTCTTGGATTCTCCTTTCCCACCTCCTGAATCCCAGAGCTTCTGGTGGGCGTGTCCTTGAGGGTCCCATCACCCAGGCCCTGACTATATTTGGGGTAAAGGGGGATTGAATACAGGGAAATGGGTGCTGTGGTGGGAAGAATAATTGTCCCCAGTGATGACTACATTCAAATCCCTGGAGTCTGTGACTATTTATGTTATAGGGGAAGGAACTGAAGGGGAAGATGGAGCTCAGGTTGTTGATGAGTTGACCTTGAGATGGGGAGACAGCCTGGACTGTCCCGCTGGGCTCAGTGTAATCACAAGGGTCCACATGAAAGGAGGAGGAAGAGGGGAGTGGGGATTAGAGCAGCGCAATGGGAGACTCCACCAGCTTTGAAGGTGGAGGAAGGCCAGGAGCCATGAATGCAGGTGGCCTGTAGAGGTTGGAAAAGTCAAGGAAATGATTCTCCAGAGTCTCCAGAGGGAACGAAGCCCTGCAGATGCCTTGATTTTAGCCCAGGAAAAACAGGGTCCTATTTCTGTCTCCAGTAGTGAAATGGGTCAGTGTGCTCTCTCCTGCTGCCATGCTTCTGATAATTTTCTACAGCAGCAACAGGAAACCAACACTGGAACCCAGGTCAAGGACAAGGTAAGAAACAACACAAGGATAGCCGGGTGTGGTGGCAGGCGCATGTAATCCTAGCGACTTGGGAGGCTGAGGGCAGGAGAATCACTTGAACCCAGGAGACAGAGGTTGCAGTGACCCTAGACCACACCACTTCACTCCAGCTGGGGTGAAGGAGTGAGACTCTGTCTCCATAATTAATTAATTAATTAAAGGAACCAAACAAGGGGAAGGTTGGCTACACCGAGATGAGCAAGTGTGGGATGATGATGCCACCACCAGGCTCCATCCACATAGGGAGGGGTTAATACTCCTCAAACCAGCACCAGGAGCCAGCCTATGGAAGCTGGCACCATGGAGAAGGCACAGGCATGGCAAGAGTGGCTCCCAGTCCCGACCAGGAACAGGGTGTGTGGACACTGGTGCCTGCCTTATTCATCAGTTCATACCTACTGCCAAGGATTCCAATTCATCCAAAAGAGATTGAACCAGGCTGATAAGAGGCTGGATGTGCAGCCTATCCTGGTTCCTCTTTCACCCCCACATAAACAGCAGGAAAGACATTAGTGTGAAATAGATACAACACCCCAAGAGATGAGGCTAAGCCCAGTGGGAAGGGAATCAGAGGCGACTAGAGACAGAGGGACAGAGAAGAGGGAGGGAGACAGATGGAAGGACCTGCACCAGGAGTTATGGGCACAGAAAAGAACATGAAGACACAGAGAGGAAGGAGAGAGACAGACACCAGCAAGGGGAAGCCTCACTCATTCTAGGTGCCATGGATGGGATGATAAAGAGAGACACCTTCTAAACTCACAACCTCTCTTCCTAGGAGTCCACAGAAAACCTTCCCTCCTGGCCCACCCAGGTCCCCTGGTGAAATCAGAAGAGACAGTCATCCTGCAATGTTGGTCAGATGTCAGGTTTGAGCACTTCCTTCTGCACAGAGAAGGGAAGTTTAACGACACTTTGCACCTCACTGGAGAGCACCATGATGGGGTTTCCAAGGCCAACTTCTCCATCGGTCCCATGATGGAAGACCTGGCAGGGACCTACAGATGCTACGGTTCTGTTACTCACTCCCCCATCAGTTGTCAGCTCCCAGTGACCCTCTGGACATCGTCATCACAGGTGAGAGTGTCCGGACATTCTTCTCATTGTCATTGGGATGCAGAGTGAATGATCCACGACTTGGAACCCCCAGGTAGTTGTAAGGAAGATGAGCTTGGTATTCTTATGGAGAGAGACTGACTTGGTGAGGTCTGTACCAACAGAGACAGAGAAACAGGAGACACAAGTACAGACCAGGTGTCATAACAGAGGACAGACACAGGGGCCATACCGGGAGTTAGAAAAGACAGAAGGAGTTAAAGGAGACAGACAGACAGACATGTCCCAGAGAGAGGTGTCCCTCCATGCTGACTTTGCTCAGAGACCTGGCACAGGTTAGAAGTTTCATTTCTGTTTTACCTCCACAAAGTGTTCTCTACCAGGAGAACCCAAGGACACCCATATTTCTGACCTGAGTTGGGCCCTGTGGCCTCAGGCCTTGTGGCACCTACAGATGCCGTGTTTATTCTGACACCTCTGCCTTCCATGTAATGGAGAGTAACCGTCCCAGGATATCATGGCCCCAGAACACCAACTCCTGTATGCTGTGTGAACTTGTGGTCTCCAGACTGGATTCTGAGGCTCACATTCCAAATAACCCCACATATGAAAGGATCACTGAGAGGCACAGAGAGAAATCAGGGACACCAAAAAGCAAAGACATAAACACACAGAGAATGAGCCAGAGGAAGGAGATTGAGAGACTCACAGACACATAAAGAGAGAGAAAAGAGGGCAGAGGAGTGGTGAGAATGATGGAAGGGAGCAGAGAAAAGCACTAAAATTAGACTCCTGAGGGAGAGGCACAAGGACATAGAAAGATGGAGATGTGGGGATGAATTGCAGAGATTCCAAAGAGAACTAGAGAGACCGAGAGGCAGAGCAAGACAGATGATAGAAGGTTAGATATAGATAGATGATAAATAGGTAGATGATAGATAATAGGTTAAAGATACATAGATGATGATTGATTGATTCATTAATAGATGAGACATAGAGATGATGATGATGAAGACAGATAGATAATACATAGAGATAGAGAGGCAGACAGAAGTCATAGAGAGAGAGATGATACATAGATATAGATAACAGATGATTGATGGATAGATAGACAAGTGATAGATACATAGATGATATATAGACATAGATGACAGGTAGAGAATTTGTAGATAGGCACCGAATAGATAAATAGATAGATCGATAGATAATAGATAGAAATATGCAGAAAGTTATGAACAGGACACAAAGTGAGAAACTTAGAATTTAAAAAAGTAACATCAAGTCAACCAATCCAAGGAGAGTCAGAGAGAATAAAAGAATCCAAAAAGGGAAAACATATCTAGAGGTGTGGAAGCGAGGTCAGAGACCTAGAGAGACAGAGAAGGTGGAAGGAGGAAATAGACATGAAGAGAGATGGGGTGGAGGGTGAGAGACAGAGAGAGAGAGCATTAGGTCATAGAGCAGGGGAGTGAGTTCTCAGCTCAGGTGAAGGGAGCTGTGACAAGGAAGATCCTCCGTAAGGAAAATGCCTCTTCTCCTTCCAGGTCTATATGAGAAACCTTCTCTCTCAGCCCAGCCGGGCCCCACGGTTCTGGCAGGAGAGAGCGTGACCTTGTCCTGCAGCTCCCGGAGCTCCTATGACATGTACCATCTATCCAGGGAGGGGGAGGCCCATGAACGTAGGTTCTCTGCAGGGCCCAAGGTCAACGGAACATTCCAGGCTGACTTTCCTCTGGGCCCTGCCACCCACGGAGGAACCTACAGATGCTTCGGCTCTTTCCGTGACTCTCCCTACGAGTGGTCAAACTCGAGTGACCCACTGCTTGTTTCTGTCACAGGTGAGGAAAGCCCATGGCTGTCCCATGTCCTATGATCCTAGAGCCTTAGCTGAGGAGCTTCCTGCTGAGGATGGAGAGAAGGATGAACAGATGCAGAGAGAAGACGAAGCTTGGGTGTGAGGGAGGGATCAGGGCACAGGATGGCAGACAGGGCACCTCCAAACCCTCCTACATGGCCTGCATGAAGGCCTGCGGCCAGGACTCCAGGCACCCAGGCAGATGGAGAAAGCGGTCAGGAGAGACCCAGAGGAGGGAGACTGGGCTCAGTTTGGGAAGATCAGAGGTTCCCTCAGCCCCTCAACATTACCCATTTCCCAGAAGCCCATCCTGGCCTCCCACCCACACAGGGATGTCATCACCTGCAACCCCTACACCCTTTACTTTTGTTTGAGAAATATTTATTGAGGATAAATATACCTATATAGCTTACCACCTTTAACATTTTTTTTTTGAGGCGGAGTCTAGCTCTGTCCCCTATGCTGGAGTGCATTGGCACAATCTCAGCTCACTGCAACTTCCGCCTCCTGGGTTCAAGCGATTCTCTTGCCTCAGCCACCTGAGTAGCTGGTGCTACAGGCGTGCACCACCATGCCAGGCTACTTTTTGTATTTTTAGTAGAGAGGGGGTTTCACCATGTTGGTCAAGCTGGTCTGGAACTCCTGACCACGTGATCCATCCGCATCAGCCTCCCAAAGTGCTGGGATTACAGGCATGAGCCACCACGCCCAGCCACATTTACCATTTTTAAGTGTAAAGTCTAGTGGTCATAAATACATTAATATATATATATATACACATATTTTTTTTTACCCTCCACCCTTTTCTTCCTGGCCTCTGGTAGCCACCATTCTACTCTCTACCTTCATGAGATCCACCTTTTAGCTCCTGTATATGGGTAAGAAATGGGAATCTTTGTAATGACCTCCAGTTCCATCCATGTGGCTGCAAATATCAGGATGTTTTTCTTTCTATGGAAGAGTAGTCTCCACTATGCAAATGTACCACATTCTCTCTATCCATTCACCCACTGATGGGCAGGTAGGTTGACTCCTCATCTTGGCTACTGTGAAGAGTGCTGCACCAATCATACGAGTGCAGATATCACTTCGATATATTGATTTACTTTCCTTTGGATATAAACCCAGTAGTGAAATTGCTGGATACTATGAAAGTTCTCTTTTTAGTTTTTCGTTTGTTGTTTTGTTTTTGTTTTTGAGACAGTTTCCCTCTGTGCCCAGGCTGGAGTACAAGTGATGTCATCTTGGCTCATTGCAACCTCTGCCTCCTGGGTTCAAATGATTTTCCTGCCTCAGCCTCCCTAGTATCAGGGATTATAGGCGCACGCCACCATGCCTGGCTACTTTTTGTTTTTTTTAGTATAGATGCGGTTTCCCCATGTTGGCTGGGCTGCTCTCAAACTCATGACCTCAACTGAGGTGCCCGCCTCGGTCTCCCAAAGTGCCGGGATTACAGGCATGATCCACCTCACCCAACCTCTTTTTAGTTCTTTAAAGGACTTCCACACTTTTCTCCGTAATGGCTGTACTAATTTACACTCCTACCAACAGGATACCAGGATTCTCCTTTCTCTAACACCTTGCCAGCATTTCTTTTGCCTGTCTTGCAGCTAAAAGCCATTTTATTTTATTTCATTTTATTTTGAGATGGAGTTTCGCTCTTGTCACCCAGGCTGAGTGCAGTGGTGCGATCTCGGCTCACCACAACCTCCACCTCCCAGGTTCAAGCGATTCTCCTGCCTCAGCCTCCCGAGTAGCTGGAATTACAGGCACACGCCACCACGCCCGACTAATTTTTGTATTTTTAGTAGAGACAGTGTTTCTCCATGTGGCTCAGACTGGTCTCAAACTCCCGACCTTATGAGATTCACCCACCTCAGGCTCTCAAAGTTCTAGGATGACAGACGTGAGCCACCACGCCCGGCCTAAAAGCCATTTTAATGGGGTGAGATGAAAACTCACTTTGATTTTAATTTGTGTTTCTCTGATGATGAGTGATACTGAGCACTTTTTCGTATGTGGGGAAATTTCATGTCTTTTGCTCCTTTTTCAATTAAATCATTTGTTTTATTGAGTTGTTTGAGCTTCTTATATTTCTAGTTATTAATCCCATCTCAGATGCATAGTTTGCACATATTTGCTCCCAATCTGTGGGTTGTCTCTTCACTTTGTTGGTTTATTTTTAGCGGTGCAGAAGTTGCTTAGTTTGAGGTAATCCCAATGGTCTATTTTTGCTTCGATTACTTGTGTTTTGAAGGTTTAAAACAAAATGTCTTCCTTCAGACAAACGTCCTGGAGCATTTCCCCAATATTTTCTTCTACGTGTTTCATAGGTTCAGGCCTTAGACTCACATCTTTAATCCATTTTCATTTGATTTTTGTGTATAGTGACAGGCAGAGGTGCAGTTTCATTCCTCTGCATGTAGATGTCCAGGTTTCCCTGCACTGTTTATTGAAAAGACTGTCCTTTCCTGATTGTGAGTTCTTGGCACCTTTGTCAAAGTCCATTGGATGGGCTGGGCATGGTGGCTGACACCTGCAATTTCAGCACTTTGGGAGCCCGAGGTGGGTGGATCACCTGAGGCCAAGAGTTCAAGATTAGTCTGGCCAACGTGATGAAACATCGTCTCCACTAAAAATATAAAAATTAGCTGAGCATGGTGGTCAGCACCTGTAATACCACTACTCAGGAGTTTGAGGCAAGAGAAGTGATTGAACCCAGGAGGCTGTGGTGGCAGTGAACCGAGATTGCACCTCTGCACTCCAGCCTGGGTGACAGAGCAAGACTCCATCTCAAAAGAAAAACAAAAAATACATTGGAGGTAAATGCATGGATTATATCTGTGTTATTCATTCTGCTCCGTTGTTCTATGTGCCTTTCTTCATGCCAACGTCATGCTGTCTTGCTTACTACAGCTCTGTAACATATTTTGAGATCAGGTAGTGTGATGCTCCTGTTTTCTCTTTATACCTTGAAGTCTCAAGACAGTAGCCGTCACATACAAAAATTACGGAAAAAAGGATCCCAGGACTCCCAGGGCCCAATATTAGATAACAGAGTGTTGGCCATGAACCAACCTCAAAGATTTCCACTGAGTAGAGGACAGACACCCTCATTTCCTCACCTCTCTCCTGTCTCGTGTTCTAGGAAACCCTTCAAATAGTTGGCCTTCACCCACTGAACCAAGCTCCAAAACCGGTGAGTACAGAACCCTCTTATATCCGCTTTTGGAAACCTGGGGAGGTGGAAACCTTGGATTCAGGCGTTGACTCAGCATCTCACAGCTCTGACATTGTACGCCTGTCTTCTACCATCTCCGAACTCCAGATACTCCAACAGCGAAAGGGATCTGGACCCAAAACAGGGCTCAGTGAAATCTCTTAATCTCTCATTTTATGGAGCTGAGATCTCCTACAAGCTAGAAAAATGATTGGCAATCTGACATCCTTCTCAGGAAAAATGCAATGTTTGTTCTGCCTGCATTCCTAACTGGAGGATAAATTCCTGGGGGCTTGAGAGAGGGAAGGGTAGGGAACATTTGATGAGGGCAAGGTGTTTTAGAGAAGTTCCACTTGCCCAGGAATGAATTACTGTTGGTCATGAAGCAACCCTGGCTGACTCAGCAGAGCAAGAGCTTTGCCTTAACAGAGAACGGAGCTCATGCACGCACACTTCGACTCACTGACTCATTCAGCCACGGCCCCATGCTCAGGCCGTGGAAAAGGCAATTCCCAGCACTGCAGGAGGCCAAGGCGGGTGGATCACTTGAAGTCAGGAGTTCCAGACCAGCCTGGCCAAAATGGTGAAACCCTGTCTCTATGAAAAATACAAAAATTAGCCGAGCATGGTGGTGCATCCCTGTAATCCCAGCTCCTACTCTTGAGGATGAAGCAGGAGAACAACTTCAACCCAGGAGGTGGAGGTTGCAGTGAGTGGAGATTGCATCACTGCACTCCAGCCTGGGTGACACAAGGAGACTCCGTCTCAAAAAATAAAAATAAGAAATGCATAAATATAATAAAACACACACGAATGACAAAGGCACCTGAATTCCAATCATCATTTTTCTATTTCTCTATAATTACTTCTTTGATCCTTTGTCTTATCCATTAGGCAATGAGCCTAAAACCTCTTCCGTATTTGGCTTTCTGTGAGCATGAGACCATATAGAAAATGTGAAAGCCCGCTGAATCCTCCAGCACAGATCGTGGAATAGAGAAAGTGCTCTGTTCATCACAAAAAAAACTTGCCCTCTCACTCAAATCCCCCACTTCACCCCTACTTCCAATCACCTGTGGAGATTCAGATAGACCATGGGGAGGTAAACATTAATACTCCTTGGAGTGAGTCCAGATCTTGGAATGAGAGATCAGCACCAGCACTAGCTCCTGCTCCCCTTTCCTACTAATTCACAGGAGGACAGGTGGTATTGAAGCAATAGATGGTGGAGGGGGTGGTCCTTCCCCCAGCCTCTCAGGTAGAACAGCAGCCTAACATGTGTCTCCCGAGATCACAAAGAGTAGGACGTTTCACAGGGGCTTCAACACGATTTCCTGGCTGTTGGACATAAGATAACTCTATTTCGCTTTTTTATCTTGATTTCACTTTTGTTTCCTTTCCTTGGAGAACGCAAGTTGTTTGACTCAAGAATGCTGTGGATGTAGAAATCCTAAAGCACATTCGCTGTGTGTCAATCCCAGTGCAGTCTTCCCAGAAAAGACCCTAAACACCTCCTAGACTGCACCTGGGCCTACGCCAATTCCTATCACTCACCGTCACTCCAGGGAGACAGAACACACAGAGAATACGTTACATAGGCAGGTTCATTACTAACAGATAAGCAGCGAGTGAAAACAGAAGCCTACATTTCAATGTGAGCCAGTCCCTCAAGGCTCAGAAAAGCTGCTCGGGACATATGGAGTCACCCCATTTGCAGTGTAGCTGGGGGAAGCCAGAAAGCAGCCCAGCCTGGGTTTTGTACCCTGGAGCCACAGGAAGCACTCAGCTAAAGCACTGCATGACGTCCTCCTCCAGGAAGAACAGGAAGACAGCCCAGGCTGCTCTGGGACGTTCCTCCTGATCTCAGGACGTTGCTGTCTTAGTCCATTTTTGTTGCTCTAAAGGAACACTTGAGCCCGGGCAACTTCTAAAGAAAAGAGATTGGTTTGCCTCACCGTTCTGCAGGCTGTACTGGAAGCATGGCACCAGCATCTATTTCTCGTGATGGCCTCAGGCTGCTCCCACTCTGGCAGAAGGGAAGGAGGGTCTGTCTGTGCAGAGACCACAGAGATCACACGGCAAGAGAGGGAGCAAGGGGGAGGGGGAGCGATGGAGCTTCCAAGTTCTTTTGAACAACCAGCTCTCTGGGAACTAATAGAGGGGGAACTAGCTAACCCCGTCTCCTTGGGACAGCATTGATCTGTTCATGATGGATCCACC
Source organism: Homo sapiens (assembly GCF_000001405.40). NCBI lineage: Eukaryota > Metazoa > Chordata > Mammalia > Primates > Hominidae > Homo > Homo sapiens. Next base: position 671,841 of record NW_003571054.1, read on the forward strand.
TCCATGACCCAAACACCTCTCAAGAGGCCCAACCTCCCACAATGGGGGTGAAATTTCAATGTGAGGTTTGAAGGGGTCAAACATCTCAACTAAAGTAGTTGTATCCTCAGCACATTCTATGGTTACTTTGAGAGCTATAACTGAGAAAGCAGGAGAAAGCTGGGTCTCCCGCCATCTGGGTGCTTGTCCTAAAGAGGTGTTTTACGTGGTTACCTGTCAATCAAGAAATGCGAGACAATTCATAAAGAGGAACTGCTATGATTAGCTTCTTATTGGTGTCTCATCTTCTTCCAGGTAACCCAAGACACCTGCACGTTCTGATTGGGACCTCAGTGGTCATCATCCTCTTCATCCTCCTCCTCTTCTTTCTCCTTCATCGCTGGTGCTCCAACAAGAAAAGTAAGTCTCACGAAGGAGAGGCCAGAGAGCTCAGGGCCATGTGGGGAAGCAGGATGGGAGCACTCAGGTGTGTGTTCCTCACAGGTAGGATGGTCCCTGGCCCAAGGCAGCAGCCACAGAGGCAGGACTTTCTAGAGAGGGCACCAGACTCCCTGTCCCTGCTTTCAGCTCACAGACCGTTGCCTGATTCTGAACTGTATCCTCATGTCCCCTGCAGCCACTCACATCCAGGAGAAGGTTCCATGACAGGCAGAAAGTGGGAGACAGAATCAATGGGATGGGAACTCAGAGCTATTCATGGGATGGGTCCTTGAGCTCAGAGAGATAGAATGTCTGAGTCTGCTGTTGGCAACTGAGGGACCTCAGGCACCTATGGCCTCCCCCTGTTTGTTGGTATCTGCTTATGAAATGAGGACCCAGAAGTGCCCTCCGAGCTCTTTTGTTGACTTCCGTCTCCTACACATGCTGCTGTAATGGACCAAGAGCCTGCAGGGAACAGAACAGCGAATAGCGAGGTAGGTGCTCCTCGGCCCAGCCTCGTGGCTAGTGTTATTCCCAAACAGTCCTGGAAAACGTGAGCACCCTCCCTCACTCAGCATTTCCCTCTCTCCAGGACTCTGATGAACAAGACCCTCAGGAGGTGACATACGTACAGTTGGATCACTGCGTTTTCACACAGAGAAAAATCACTCGCCCTTCTCAGAGGCCCAAGACACCCCCAACAGATACCAGAGTGTACACGGAACTTCCAAATGCTGAGTCCAGATCCAAAGTTGTCTCCTGCCCATGAGCACCACAGTCAGGCCTTGAGGGGATCTTCTAGGGAGACAACAGCCCTGTCTCAAAACCGGGTTGCCAGCTCCCATGTACCAGCAGCTGGAATCTGAAGGCGTGAGTCTGCATCTTAGGGCATCGCTCTTCCTCACACCACAAATCTGAATGTGCCTCTCTCTTGCTTACAAATGTCTAAGGTCCCCACTGCCTGCTGGAGAGAAAACACACTCCTTTGCTTAGCCCACAATTCTCCATTTCACTTGACCCCTGCCCACCTCTCCAACCTTACTGGCTTACTTCCTAGTCTACTTGAGGCTGCAATCACACTGAGGAACTCACAGTTCCAAACATACAAGAGGCTCCCTCTTAACACGGCACTTAGACACGTCCTGTTCCACCTTCCCTCATGCTGTTCCACCTCCCCTCAGAGTATCTTTCAGCCTTCTGTCAGCAGTAAAACTTATATATTTTTTAAAATAATTTCAATGTAGTTTTCCCTCCTTCAAATAAACATGTCTGCCCTCATGGTTTCGGTAATGGGACTCTTTTCTTGCCTAAGACTTCCAGTGTTATCATTACCATGTCCACATAACCCCATCTGTTCTCCACTGGGTTCTCACCCCCGGACTCTGAGTTTCTGGAAGCAGGGTGGAGCCTCATTTGTCTCTGGGACTCCTATTTCCATCCAAAGATGTAGCACATAGGAGGTTCCAAGGATCGTGAATCACATGAACAAGTGATATTCTTACTCTCTGCAGACCTGGAAATCTGGCAGAGTCATTCCAAGATGAAACATTTGTAGAGTCATAGGCCTTGTTAGTCTCATCTACACAGGGACACATATCAACACATCATCTTTCACACTATAAATATACAGTCACTCCTCCATATCTGTGGGGTTTACAGTTCTTTATTGAACCGAGTATAAATCAAAAATATTCAGAGAAAGTATCCACAGAGTTACAAAAAGCAGAACTGTGTTGAATGGACACAAATGAAGCTGTGTGTAGGCTGCATCAGGAATTATAAGTAATCTAGAGATGATTTCATGTATACAGGAGGATGTGCATAGGTTATTTGCAAACTCTGTGCCATTTCATATAAGAGGCTTGAGCATCTACAGATTTTGGTATCTGAGTGGAGATCTCGAAACCAATCACCCAGGAATAGTGAAGGATGACCGTATATGACTTTTATTTCTCAAATTTAAATATAAATCATAAAAAATGTACAACTAGATAAAAACTAAGAAGTGTTTTTATAGTGTGAGTTAGATTTATTTTTTCCTAGGTATAACCCATTGGTTTAATATTATTTATTGAGAAGACATTCTATGCCACCTTAAACCACACGGCAGCCTTTGTCAACTCTAAAGGGACTGTGTGTACACGGATGTACTTTAGACACTGTTTCTGCTAAGGGGCTCTCTGTGTCCACACTCTTGATGATGCTGCACTTTATGTAGCCTTATAGAACCCTTTAAATTTAGTAGCCAGAGCTCTCTAATTTGTTATTATAGGCTATTTGCTTTTTTTTCTTGAGGCGGAGTCTTGCTCTGTCGCCCAGGCTGGACTGCAGTGACACAATCTCAGCTCACTGCAACTTCTGCCTCCCAGGTTCAAGCGATTCTCGTGCCTCAGCCTCTTGAGTAGCTGGCGTTACAGGTGCCTGCCACCAGGCACGGCTAATTTTTGGATTTTTAACAGAGACACGGTTTCACTATATTGGCCAGGCTGCTCTCAAACTCCTTATCTCAGTTGATCCGCCCACCTCGGCTTCCCAACGTGCTGGGGAAACTTGATTTTCTATAGCATTATGTTACTGGATATTTCTGTAAAATTTAAAATGAGGGAGGGAGAGAGACAGACGGAAAACAAACTCCAGAGTTGGGACTCTGGAATCTTGGGTCATGAGACAAATTTTAGATTAAACTACAAAACTCCAGAATTTACAGGTGGGGTTTTTACTGATAAAGTACAATTCTAAGATTGTAAATAATTGCATAATCCTTCCCTGGGAATTTAAATCATTTTAACTGGTTCTGCTGTAATACTAGAAATACAAGCATGAAAAATTCTAATGGTTTGTTAGTCACAATGACTCTGAAAACATTAATAATACCTATTAGATATTTTGCATATTACACAGGAAGAAGAGTTTGAATCTCAGATAAAAACAATAGAAATACATGAAAAGTCTTTCATGTTAGCACAGATTTTAGGCATCTCGTGTTCGGGAGGTTGGATCTCAGACGTGTTTTGAGTTGGTCATAGTGAAGGACACTAGGTGTCAAATTCTAGCGAGAACAATTTCCAGGAAGCCGTGTTCCGCTCTTGAGCGAGCACCCACTGGGCCTCATGCAAGGTAGAAAGAGCCTGCGTACGTCACCCTCCCATGATGTGGTCAACATGTAAACTGCATGGGCAGGGCGCCAAATAACATCCTGTGCGCTGCTGAGCTGAGCTCGGTCGCGGCTGCCTGTCTGCTCCGGCAGCACCATGTCGCTCTTGTTCGTCAGCATGGCGTGTGTTGGTGAGTCCTGGAAAGCAATAGAGGGAGGGAGTGAGGGGATGGAGATCTGGGCCCAGAGGTGGAGATATAGGCCTGGAGGTGGAGTTATGGGCCTGGAGTGGAGATCTGGGCCTGGAGTGGATATATGGGCCTAGAGATGGAGTGATGGGCCTAGAAGTGGAGATCTGGGCCCAGAGGTCGAGATATAGGCCTGGAGGTGGAGTGATGGGACTGTAGTGGAGATCTGGGCCTGGAGTGGAGATAGGAACCTGGAGGGGAGATAGGAACCTGGAGGGGAGATATGGGCCTGGAGGTGGAGATATGGGCCTGGAGTGGAGTCATGGGCCTGGAGGTGGAGTTACGGGCCTGCAGTAGAGATATGGGCCTGAAGTGGAGACATGGGCCTGGAGTGGAGATATGGGCCAGGAGTGGAGATATGGGCCTAGAGGTCGATATCTGGGCCTGGAGTGGAGATATGGGCCAGGAGTGGAGATATGGGCCTAGAGGTCGATATCTGGGCCTGGAGAGGAGATATGTGCCTAGGATGGAGATACGGGCCTGGGTGTGGAGATATGGGACTGGAGAGGATATATGGGCCTGGAGTGGAGATACGGGACTGGAGAGGAGATATGGACCTGGAGTGGAGATAAGGGCCTGGATTGGAGATATGGGCCCAGGGTGGAGATCTGAGCCTGGATTGGAGATATGGGCCTGGATTGGCGATATGGGCTTAGGGTGGAAATATCGGCCTGGAGTGGAGATATGGGCCTGGAGTGGAGATATGGGCTTGAGGTGGGGATATGGACCTGGAGGCTGGGTCTCTGCACAGCCGACAGCCCTGTTCTTGGGTGCAGGTAGGCACTGAGGGTGAGTTTACCTTCAGCCCAGGAAGGGCCTGGCTACCAAGACTCACAGCCCAGTGGGGGCAGCAAGGGTGCCCTGGTTTGCCTGCAGATGGGTCATCCATCATGATCTTTCTTTCCAGGGTTCTTCTTGCTGCAGGGGGCCTGGCCACATGAGGGTGAGTCCTTCTCCAAACCTTCGGGTGTCATCTCCCCACATAAGAGGATTTTCCTGAAATGGGAGGGAAGTCCTGTCAGGGAGTCTCTCATAAACTAGGAAGAAGGGACCCTGGGGTGCTGGGCCCACATTTCTGACCTTGCCTCCCTGGCCTTTCATTCCCTTGGCAGAGTCAAGTTCTGTGGGGACCAGGGTTAGACTACGGTGCTCAAAGCTGGGGTGTGTGGTGGGGAAGTGGTAGGAACAGCAGATCCTCTGAGGACAAAGGTGTTACTCACACACTTCAGCGTTTCCATGACGGTAGGGGCTGCAGTGTGGCTGCTGTCATTCTACCAGAAGAGGTGGGAAAACCACAGCCATGGCCCTGACATTCCAATCCTCTGATGGGGACTCAGTTGTTTATTTTCGTTCAGGCATCGGCTGATATTCCATTCTCAAAGGACATGCCCTCCACCCCATGTCTACCCTGTGTTGTTTTATGTGAGTAATCTTACAGTATTAAAATCTAGTAGGAGTCTCTTACTCAGCACTTGCTCAAAGTTCTCAGCTGACACTTTTGTTGTAGGGAGACACCTTGTGTTTGCGGGATGGGTCCTTCCTTTAGCCCTGGGCACCAAGGTGTGATAGCAGCCATAGAAACTTGGAAAGCGAGGAGAATCTTCAGAGCACAGGGAGGGAGGGGCGGCTCCACATCCTCCTCTCTAAGGCGGTGCCTCCTTCTCCCCACGGTGGTCAGGACAAGCCCTTGCTGTCTGCCTGGCCAAGCCCTGTGGTGCCTCCAGGACATGTGATTCTTCAGTGTCATTCTTATCTTGGGTTTAACAACTTCAGTCTGTAAAAGGAAGATGGGGTGCCTGTCCCTGAGCTCTACAACATAATATTCTGGAACAGCCTTTTCATGGGCCCTGTGACCCCAGCACACGCAGGGACCTATACATGTCGGGGTTCACAACCACACTACCCCAGTGGGTGGTCGGCACCCAGCAACCCCCTGGAGATCACGGTCACAGGTCAGAGGGCTCCTGTCTGGGATTCTCCTTGTCCCACCTCCTGAATCCCAGAGCTCCTGGTGGGCGTGTCCTTGCGGGTCCCATCATGCAAGTCCTGACTGTATTTGGGGTAAAGGGGGATTGAATACAGGGAAATGGGTGCTGTGGTGGGAAGAATAATTGTCCCCAGTGATGACTACATTCTAATCCCTGGAGTCTGTGACTATTTATGATATAGGGGAAGGGACTGAAGGAGAAGATGGAGCTCAGGTTGTTGATGAGTTGACCTTGAGATGGGGAGACAGCCTGGACTGTCCTGATGGGCTCAGTGTAGTCACAGGGGTCCACATGAAAGGAGGAGGAAGAGGGGAGTGGGGATTACAGCAGCGCAATGGGAGACTCCACCAGCTTTGAAGGTGGAGGAAGTCCAGGAGCCATGAATGCAGGTGGCCTATAGAGGCTGGAAAAGTCAAGGAACTGATTCTCCTGAGTCTCCAGAGGGAACGAAGCCCTGCAGGTGCCTTGATTTTACCCACGACAAACAGGGTCCGATTTCTGTCTCCAGAATTGGAAGGGGTTAGTGTGCTCTCTCCTGGTGCCATGCTTCTGATAATTTTCTACAGCAGCAACAGGAAACCAACACTGGAACCCAGGTCAAGGACAAGTTAAGAAACAACACAAGGATAGCCAGGCATGGTGGCAGGTGCATGTAATCCTAGCGACTTGGGAGGCTGAGGGCAGGAGAATCACTTGAACCCAGGAGACAGAGGTTGCAGTGAGCCTAGACCACACCACTTCACTCCAGCCTGGGCAAAGGAGTGAGACTCTGTCGCCAAAATTAATTAATTAATTAAAGAAACCAAACAAGGAGAAGGTTGGCTACACTGAGATCAGCAAGGCTCAGATGATGATGCCACCACCAGGCTCCATCCACATAGGGAGCGGTTGATACTCCTCCAACCAGCACCAGGAGCCAGCCTATGGAAGCTGGCACTGGCATGGCAAGAGTGGCTCCCAGTCCCTACCAGGAACAGGGTGTGTGGCCACTGGTGCCTGCCTTACTGATCAGTTCATACCTCCTGCCAAGGATTCCAATTCGTCCAAAAGAGATTGAACCAGGCTGCTAAGAGCCTGGATGTGCAGCCTATCCTGGTTCCTCTTCCACCCCCACATAGACAGCAGGAAAGACATTAGTTCGAAATAGATACAACAGCCCAAGAGATGAGGCTGAGCCCAGCGGCAAGGGAATCAGAGGCTACTAGAGACAGAGGGACAGAGAAGAGTGAGGGAGACAGATGGAAGGACCTGCACCAGGAGTTATGGGCACAGAAAAGAACATGAAGACACAGAGAGGAAGGAGAGAGATAAGACACCAGGAAGGGGAAGCCTGACTCAATCCAGGTGCCATGGATGGGATGATAAAGAGAGACACCTTCTAAACTCACAACCTCTCTTCCTAGGAGTCCACAGAAAACCTTCCCTCCTGGCCCACCCAGGTCCCCTGGTGAAATCAGAAGAGACAGTCATCCTGCAATGTTGGTCAGATGTCATGTTTGAACACTTCCTTCTGCACAGAGAGGGGATGTTTAACGACACTTTGCGCCTCATTGGAGAACACCATGATGGGGTCTCCAAGGCCAACTTCTCCATCAGTCGCATGACGCAAGACCTGGCAGGGACCTACAGATGCTACGGTTCTGTTACTCACTCCCCCTATCAGGTGTCAGCTCCCAGTGACCCTCTGGACATCGTGATCATAGGTGAGAGTGTCCAGACTTTCTTCTCATTGTCATTGGGATGCAGAGTGAATGATCCAGGAATTGGAGACCCAGGTGGCTGTAAGGAAGATGAGCTTGGTATTCTTATGGAGAGAGACTGACTTGGTGAGGTCTGTGCCAACAGAGACAGAGAAACAGGAGACACAAGTACAGACCAGGTGTCATAACAGAGAACAGACACAGGGGCCATACCGGGAGTTAGAAAAGACAGAAAGAGTTAAAGGAGACACACAGACAGACATGTCCCAGAGAGAGGTGTCCCTCCATGCTGACTTTGCTCAGAGACCTGGCACAGGTTAGAAGTTTCATTTCTGTTTTACCTCCACAAAGTGTTCTCTACCAGGAGAACCCAAGGACACCCATATTTCTGACCTGAGTTGGGCCCTGTGGCCTCAGGCCTTGTGGCACCTACAGATGCCATGTTTATTCTGACACCTCTGCCTTCCATGTAATGGAGAGTAATCGTCCCAGGATATCATGGCCCCACAACACCAACCCCTGTATGCTGTGTGAACTTGTAGTCTCCAGACTGGATTCTGAGGCTCATATTCCAAATAAGCCCACTTATGAGAGGATCAGTGGGAGGCACAGAGAGAAATCAGGGACACCAAAAAGCAAAGACATAAACACACAGAGAATGAGCCAGAGGAAGGAGATTGAGAGACTCACAGACACATAAAGAGAGAGAAAAGAGGGCAGAGAAGTGAGAATGATGGAAGGGAGCAGAGAAAAGCACTAAAATTAGACTCCTGAGGGAGAGGCACAAGGACATTGAAAGATGGAGATGTGGGGATGAATTGCAGAGATTCCAAAGAGAACTAGAGAGACCGAGAGGCAGAGCAAGACAGATGATAGATGGATAGATATAGATAGATGATAAATAGGTAGATGATAGATAATAGGTTATAGATACATAGATGATGATTGATTGATTCATTAATAGATGAGACATAGAGATGATGATGATGAAGACAGATAGATAGATAATACATAGAGATACAGAGGCAGACATAGAGAAATCATAGAGAGAGAGAGATGATACATAGATATAGATAATAGATGATTGATGGATAGATAGACAATTGATGGATAAATAGATGATATATAGATATAGATGACAGGTAGAGAATTTGTAGATAGGCACCGAATAGATAAATAGATAGATCGATAGATAATAGATAGAAATATGCAGAAAGTTATGAACAGGACACAAAGTGAGAAACTCAGAATTAAAAAAAGTAACATCAAGTCAACCAATCCAAGGAGAGTCAGAGAGAATAAAACAATCCAAAAAGAGAAAACATATCTAGAGGTGGGGAAGTGAGGTCAGAGACCTAGAGAGACAGAGAAGGTGGAAGGAGGAAATAGACATGAAGAGCGATGGGGTAGAGGGTGAGAGAGAGAGAGAGAGAGCATTAGGTCATAGAACAGGGGAGTGAGTTCTCAGCTCAGGTGAAGGGAGCTGTGACAAAGAAGATCCTCCCTGAGGAAACTGCCTCTTCTCCTTCCAGGTCTATATGAGAAACCTTCTCTCTCAGCCCAGCCGGGCCCCACGGTTCTGGCAGGAGAGAATGTGACCTTGTCCTGCAGCTCCCGGAGCTCCTATGACATGTACCATCTATCCAGGGAAGGGGAGGCCCATGAACGTAGGCTCCCTGCAGGGCCCAAGGTCAACGGAACATTCCAGGCTGACTTTCCTCTGGGCCCTGCCACCCACGGAGGGACCTACAGATGCTTCGGCTCTTTCCATGACTCTCCATACGAGTGGTCAAAGTCAAGTGACCCACTGCTTGTTTCTGTCACAGGTGAGGAAAGCCCATGGCTGTCCCATGTCCTATGATCCTAGAGCCTTAGCTGAGGAGCTTCCTGCTGAGGATGGAGAGAAGCATGGACAGATGCAGAGAGAAGACGCAGCCTCGGTGTGAGGGAGGGATCAGGGCACAGGATGGCCGACAGGGCACCTCCAAACCCTCCTACATGGCCTGCATGGAGGCCCACGGCCAGGGCTCCAGGCACCCAGGCAGATGGAGAAAGCGGTCAGGAGAGACCCAGAGGAGGGAGACTGGGCTCAGTTTGGGGAGATCAGAGGTTCCCTCAGCCCCTCAACCTTACCCATTTCCCAGAAGCCCATCCTGGCCTCTCACCCACACAGAGATGTCATCACCAGCAACCCCTACACCCTTTACTTTTCTTTGAAGAAATATTTATTGAGGATAAATATACCTATATAGCTTACCACTTTTAACATTTTTTTTTGAGGTGGAGTCTAGCTCTGTCCCCTATGATGGAGTGCAGTGGCACAATCTCAGCTCACTGCAACCTCCGCCTCCTGGGTTCAAGCGATTCTCCTGCCTCAGCCACCTGAGTAGCTAGTGCTACAGGCACGCACCACCACGCCAGGCTACTTTTTGTATTTTTAGTAGAGAGGTGGTTTCACCATGTTGGTCGAGCTGGTCTCGAACTCCTGACCACGTGATCCACCCGCATCAGCCTCCCAAAGTGCTGGGATTACAGGCATGGGCCACCAGGCCCAGCCACATTTACCATTTTTAAGTGTAAAGTCTAGTGGTCATAAATACATTTTTATATATATATATATATACATTTTTTTTACCCTCCACCCTTTTCTTCCTGTCCTCCAGTAGCCACCATTCTACTCTCTACCTTCATGAGATCCACCTTTTAGCTCCTGTATATGGGTGAGAAATGGGAATCTTTTTAATGACCTCCAGTTCCATCCATGTGGCTGCAAATGACAGGATGTTATTCTTTCTATGGATGAGTAGTCTCCACTGTGCGTATGTACTACATTCTCTCTATCCATTCACCCACTGATGGGCAGGTAGGTTGACTCCTCATCTTGGCTACTGTGAACAGTGCTGCACCAATCATACGAGTGCAGATATCACTTCGATATGTTGATTTACTTTCCTTTGGATATAAACCCAGTAGTGAAATTGCTGGATACTATGAAAGTTCTCTTTTTTTTTTTTTTTTTCTTTTTTGAGAAAGAGTTTCCCTCCTTAGCCCAAGCTGGAGTCAAAGTGGTGCAACCTTGGCTCATTGCAACCTCCGCCTCCTGGGTTCAAATGATTTTCCTGCCTCAGCCTCCCTAGTAGCTGGGATTACAGGTGCACACCACCATGCCTGGCTACTTTTTGGTTTTTTTAGTATAGATGCGGTTTCCCCATGTTGGCTGGGCTGCTCTCAAACTCATGACCTCAACTGAGGTGCCCGCCTCAGTCTCCCAAAGTGCCGGGATTACAGGCATGATCCACCTCACCCAACCTCTTTTTAGTTCTTTAAAGGACTTCCATACTTTTCTCCGTAATGGCTGTACTAATTTACACTCCTCCCAACAGGGTACCAGGGTTCTCCTTTCTCTACCACCTTGCCAGCATTTCTTTTGCCTGTCTTGCAGCTAAAAGCCATTTTATTTTATTTCATTTTATTTTGAGATGGAGTTTTGCTCTTCTCACCCAGGCTGGAGTGCAGTGGCGCTATCTCGGCTCACCACAACCTCCACCTCCCAGGTTCAAGCGATTCTCCTGCCTCAGCCTCCCGAGTAGCTGGAATTACAGGCACACGCCACCACGCCCTACTAATTTTTGTATTTTTAGTAGAGACAGCGTTTCTCTATGTGGGTCAGACTGGTCTCAAACTCCCAACCTTATGAGATTCACCCACCTCAGGTTCTCAAAGTTCTAGGATGACACAAGTGAGCCACCTCACCCGGCCTAAAAGCCATTTTAATGGGGTGAGATGAAAACTCACTTTGATTTTAATTTGCGTTTCTCTGATGATGAGTGATACTGAGCACTTTTTCGTATGTGGGGAAATTTCATGTCTTTTGCTCCTTTTTCAATTAAATCATTTGTTTTATTGAGTTGTTTGAGCTTCTTATATTTCTAGTTATTAATCCCATCTCAGATGCATAGTTTGCACATATTTGCTCCCAATCTGTGGGTTGTCTCTTCACTTTGTTGGTTTATTTTTAGCAGTGCTGAAGTTGCTTAGTTTGAGGTAATCCCAATGGTCTATTTTTGCTTCGATTACTTGTGTTTTGAAGGTTTAAAACAAAATGTCTTCCTTCAGACAAACGTCCTGGAGCATTTCCCCAATATTTTGTTCTACGTGTTTCATAGGTTCAGGCCTTAGACTCACATCTTTAATCCATTTTCATTTGATTTTTGTGTATGGTGACAGGTAGAGTTGCAGTTTCATTCCTCTGCATGTAGATGTCCAGGTTTCCCTGCACTGTTTATTGAAAAGACTGTCCTTTCCTGATTGTGAGTTCTTGGCATCTTTGTCAAAGTCCATTGGATGGGCTGGGCTTGGTGGCTAACACCTGCAATTTCAGCACTTTGGGAGCCCGAGGTGGGTGGATCACCTGAGGCCAGGAGTTCAAGATTAGTCTGGCCAACGTGATGAAACATCGTCTCCACTAAAAATATAAAAATTAGCTGAGCATGGTGGTCAGCACCTGTAATACCACTACTCAGGAATTTGAGGCAAGAGAATGATTGAACCCAGGAGGCTGAGGTTGCAGTGAACCGAGATTGCACCTCTGCACTCCAGCCTGAGTGACAGAGCAAGACTCCATCTCAAAAGAAAAAATAAAAAACCATTGGATGTAAATGCATGGAATATATCTGTGTTATTCATTCTGCTCCGTTGTTCTATGTGCCTTTCTTTATGCCAATGTCATGCTATTTTGCTTACTACAGCTCTGTAACATATTTTGAGATCAGGTAGTGTGATGCTCCTGTTTTCTCTTTATATCTTGAAGTCTCAAGACAGTGGGTGTCATATAAAAAAATTATGGAAAAAAGGATCCCAGGACTCCCAGGGCCCAATATTAGATAAGAGAGTGTTGGCCATGAACCATCCTCAAAGATTTCCACTGAGTGGAGGACAGACACCCTCATTTCCTCACCTCTCTCCTGTCTCATGTTCTAGGAAACCCTTCAAATAGTTGGCCTTCACCCACTGAACCAAGCTCCAAAACCGGTGAGTACAGAACCCTCTTATATCCGCTTTTGGAACCCTGGGGAGGTGGGAACCTTGGATTCAGGCGTTGACTCAGCATCTCACAGCTCTGACATTGTACACTTGTCTTCCACCATCTCCGAACTCCAGATACTCCTACAGCGAAAGGGATCTGGGCCCAACACAGGGCTCAGTGAAATCTCTTCATCTCTCATTTTATGGAGCTGAGACCTCCTACAAGCTAGAAGAATGATTGCCAATCTGACATCCTTCTCAGGAAAAATGCAATGTTTGTTCTACCTGCATTCCTAACTGGAGGATAAATTCCTGGAGACTTGAGAGAGGGAAGGGAAGGGAACATCTGATGAGGGCAAGGTGTTTTAGAGAAGTTCCACTTGCCAAGGAATGAGCTCCTGTAGGTCATGAAGCAACCCTGGCTGACTCCGCAGAGAAAGAGCCTTGCCGTAACAGAGAACAGAGCTCATGCACGCACACTTCGACTCACTGACTCATTCAGCCACGGCCCCATGCTCAGGCTGTGCAGTGTGGAACCTTTTCCTATTGTTGCCATAACAAATTTCCACAAGATTCGTGGGTGAAAACAAAACGGTTTTTTAATTATCTTACAGTGCTGTAGCTCAAAGTAGGAAGTGCATCTTACTGGGCTAAAATCAAGGTGACAGCAAGGCTGCCTTCCCTCTGAGGATTCCAGGCACGAATCTGCTTCTCACTTGTCCCAGCTTCTAAAGGCTCCCAGTTCCTTGGCTCCTGGTCCCCTTCCTCCTTCCTCAAAGCCCACAAAGACTGGTCACATCTCACATGGCATCACTCAGTGCCTTCTTCCTTACCACACCTCTTTCTCTGAGTGCTGCTCTCCCTTCTTCCTCATCTTTTGAAAACTTGGGGATTCTATTGGGTTCACCAAGATGAAAATCCCTCATAATCTCCTGGAAATCATCCAGGATACCCTTGTTTTAAGTTCAGCTGATTAGCAACCATAATTCCATCTGCAATCTTCATTCCTCCTTTCCATGTAAAATAACATATTCACAAGCTGTGGAGGCTAGGACAGGGACATTTTGGGGTGGGACAGCATTCTCCTGCCTTCCACAAACAGTGAACAAGATGCATTTGGCCTCTGCCCTTGGGACACTGATATTGCAGATGGTTAAATGGGAGGGCAGAAAATGAACGCACAAGTGGATCTATAAATGAATGGTCCATTGGGAAGCATCTGTGCATGAAATCTATTTTTTGTTTGTTCTTTTGTTTATTGAGACAGAGTCGCCCTCTGTCTTCCAGGCTACAGTGCAGTGTCACGATCTTGGCTCACTGCAACCTGCGTCTCCTGGATTCAAGGGATTCTCCTGCCTCCGCCTCTCGAGTAGCTGGGATTACAGGCAACTGCCACCGTGCCCGGCTAATTCTTTTTGTATATTTTTTGTAGAGAGGATGTTTCACCACGTTGGCCAAGCTTGTCTGAAACTCCCAACCTCAAGTGATCCGACCGTCTCAGCATGCCAAAGTAATGGGACTACAGGCGTGAGCCACTGTGCCCAGCCAGAATTCAAAATCAATAATAGATAATGCTGAGTGTATGATTTCAGGTGACAAAGAAGGTCTCACTATTCAGATATTTGTGACATTAATGAAAAACACGGAATGAACCCCTGAAAGATTGGCGGAAGGATTTTGCACACACAGCTGTCAGCCATGAAGGCACAAAGGTGAAAACAATCTGATGTGGAAGGAAGAGGCTCTGACTCAAATGCTGGGAATGAGGTGGGGAGAATGACAAGACGACTGTAGAGAGACGGAGAGCACACTGGGTACACAGGAAACTAAGGAGGAACAAGGAGTGTGTGCTTGACACTCACAGCCATTGGATTCACCTCGGGGTAACCAGGAATCCCTACATGATTAATATGACTGACATGAAAATAAGGGAGGCCCAGGTGCATAACTGGAATCTAGGAGACCGTGGAAAAGGCAATTGCCGCCCCACTGGTGAAATGTGGTGCTGATTTAGACACTAAATGAATGAAGTAGATGGATATAAGATATGTTTGTGAGGTAGAATCATTGACTGGAAAGGCTTACTGGGTTTGATTTTCCTACTTGTTTAATCCTCACTTAATTAATTTCTTTCTGAGATTTATTCATCCTACACATAAATCAATACCTGGCAAAGGAGTGACAGATATATGAGTGGTGGTGGAAATGAAGAGACTTATTATAGCATAATATACAAGTCTGTGAACAGTGGCTCACACCTGTAACCTAGCACTGCAGGAGGCCAAGGTGGGTGGATTCCATGAAGTCAGGAGTTCCAGACCAGCCTGGCCAACGTGGTGAAACCCTATCTCTACTAAAAATACAAAAATTAGCCGAGCACGATGGTGCATCCCTGTAATCCCAGCTCCTATTCTGGAGGATGAAGCAGGAGAATGACTTCAACCCAGTAGGTGGAGGTTGCAGTGAGTGGAGATTGCATCACTGCACTCCAGCCTGGGGGACACAAGGAGACTCTATCTCAAAAAATAAAAATAAGAAATACATAAATATAATAAAACACACACGAATGACAAAGGCACCTGAATTCCAATCATGATTTTTCTATTTCTCTATAATTACTTCTTTGATCCTTTATCTTATCCATTAGGCAATGAGCCTAAAACCTCTTCCCTATTTGGCTTTCTGTGAGCATGAGATCATATAGAAAATGTGAAAGCCCGCTGAATCCTCCAGCACAGATCCTGGAATAGAGAAAGTGCTCTGGTCATCACAAAAAAAACTTGCCCACTCACCCAAATCCCCCACCTCACCCCTACTTCCAATCACCTGTGGAGATTCAGATAGACCATGGGGAGGTAAACATTAACACTCCTTGGAGTGAGTCCAGATCTTGGAATCAGAGATCAGCGACAGCACTAGCTCCTGCTCCCCTTTCCTACTAATTCACAGGAGGACAGGTGGTTTTGAAGCAATAGATGGCCGAGGGGGTGGTCCTTCCCCCAGCCTCTCGGGTAGAACAGCAGCCTAATATGTGTCTCCCGAGATCACAAAGAGCAGCAGGTTTCACACGGGCTTCAACACTATTTCCTGGCCGTTTGACATAAGAGAATTCTATTTCGCTTTTTTTATCTTGATTTCACTTTTGTTTTCTTTCCTTGGAGAATGCAAGTTGTTTGATTCAAGAATGCTGTGGATGTAGAAACCCTAAAGCACATTCGCTGTGAATCAATCCCAGTCCAGTCTTCCCAGAGAAGACTCTAAACACCTCCTGGACTGCACCTGGGCCTATGCCAATTCCTATCACTCACCGTCACTCCAGGGAGACAGAACACACAGAGAATACGTTACATAGGCAGGTTCATTACTAACAGATAAGCAGCGAGTGACAACAGAAACCTATATTTCAATGTGACCCAGTCCCTCAAGGCTCAGAAAAGCTGCTCGGGACATATGGAGTCACCCCATTTGCAGTGTAGCTGGGGGAAGCCAGAAAGCAGCCCAGCCTGGGTTTTGTACCCTGGAGCCACAGGAAGCACTCAGCTAAAGCACTGCATGACGTCCTCCAGGAAGAACAGGAAGACAGCCCAGGGTGTTCTGAGACGTTCCTCCTGATCTCAGGAAGTTGCTGTCTTAGGCCATTTTTGTTGCTCTAAAGGAACACTTGAGCCTCGGTAACTTCTAAAGAAAAGAGATTGGTTTGCCTCACCGTTCTGCAGGCTGTACTGGAAGCATGGCACCAGCATCTATTTCTCGTGACGGCCTCAGGCTGCTCCCACTCTGGCAGAAGGGAAGGAGGGTCTGTCTGTGCAGAGACCACAGAGATCACACGGCAAGAGAGGGAGCAAGGGGGAGGGGGAGTGATGGAGCTTCCAAGCTCTTTTTAACAACCAGCTCTCCGGGAACTAATAGAGGGGGAACTTGCTAACCCCGTCTCCTTGGGACAGCATTGATGTGTTCATGATGGATCCACCTCCATGACCCAAACACCTCTCAAGAGGCCCAACCTCCCACAGTGGGGGTGAAATTTCAATGTGAGGTTTGAAGGGGTCAAACATCTCAACTAAAGTAGTCGTATCCTCAGCACGTTCTATGGTTACTATGAGAGCTATAACTGAAAAAGCAGGAGAAAGCTGGGTCTCCTGCCATCTGGGTGCTTGTCCTAAAGAGGTGTTTTATGTGGTTACCTGTCAATCAAGAAATGCGAGACAATTCATAAAGAGGAACTGCTAAGATTAGCTTCTTATTGGTGTCTCATCTTCTTCCAGGTAACCCCCGACACCTGCACATTCTGATTGGGACCTCAGTGGTCATCATCCTCTTCATCCTCCTCTTCTTTCTCCTTCATCGCTGGTGCTCCAACAAAAAAAGTAAGTCTCACGAAGCAGAGGCCAGAGAGCTCAGGGCCATGTGGGGAAGCAGGATGGGAGCACTCAGGTGTGTGTTCCTCACAAACAGGATGGTCCCTGGCCCAAGGCAGCAGCCACAGAGGCAGGACTTTCTAGAGAGGGCACCAGACTCCCTGTCCCTGCCTTCAACTCACAGACCGTTGCCTGATTCTGAACTGTATCCTCATGTCCCCTGCAGCCACTCACATCCAGGAGAAGGTTCCATGACAGGCAGAAAGTGGGAGACAGAATCAATGGGATGGGAACTCAGAGCTATTCATGGGATGGGTCCTTGAGCTCAGAGAGATAGAATGTCTGAGTCTGCTGTTGGCAACTGAGGGACCTCAGCCACCTATGGTCTCCCCCTGTATGTTGGTATCTGCTTATGAAATGAGGACCCAGAAGTGCCCTCCGAGCTGTTTTGTTGACTTCCGTCTTCTACAGATGCTGCGGTAATGGACCAAGAGTCTGCAGGAAACAGAACAGCGAATAGCGAGGTAGGTACTCCTCGGCCCGGGCTCGTGGCTACTGTTATTCCCAAAGAGTCCTGGAAAATGTGAGCACCCTCCCTCACTCAGCATTTCCCTCTCTCCAGGACTCTGATGAACAAGACCCTCAGGAGGTGACATACACACAGTTGAATCACTGCGTTTTCACACAGAGAAAAATCACTCGCCCTTCTCAGAGGCCCAAGACACCCCCAACAGATATCATCGTGTACACGGAACTTCCAAATGCTGAGTCCAGATCCAAAGTTGTCTCCTGCCCATGAGCACCACAGTCAGGCCTTGAGGGCGTCTTCTAGGGAGACAACAGCCCTGTCTCAAAACCGGGTTGCCAGCTCCCATGTACCAGCAGCTGGAATCTGAAGGCATGAGTCTGCATCTTAGGGCATCGATCTTCCTCACACCACAAATCTGAATGTGCCTCTCACTTGCTTACAAATGTCTAAGGTCCCCACTGCCTGCTGGAGAAAAAACACACTCCTTTGCTTAGCCCACAGTTCTCCATTTCACTTGACCCCTGCCCACCTCTCCAACCTAACTGGCTTACTTCCTAGTCTACTTGAGGCTGCAATCACACTGAGGAACTCACAATTCCAAACATACAAGAGGCTCCCTCTTAACGCAGCACTTAGACACGTGTTGTTCCACCTTCCCTCATGCTGTTCCACCTCCCCTCAGACTAGCTTTCAGTCTTCTGTCAGCAGTAAAACTTATATATTTTTTAAAATAACTTCAATGTAGTTTTCCATCCTTCAAATAAACATGTCTGCCCCCATGGTTTCGGTAATGGGACTCTTTTCTTGCCTAAGGCTTCCGGTGTTATCAGTACCATGTCCATATAATCCCATCTGTTCCCCACTGAGTTCTCATCCCCGGACTCTGAGTTTCTGGAAGCAGGGTGGAGCCTCATTTGTCTCTGGGACTCCAATTTCCATCCAAAGATGTAGCACATAGGAGGTTCCAAGGATCACGAATCATATGAACAAGTGATACTCTTACTCTCTGCAGACCTGGAAAGCTGGCAGAGTCATTCCACAATGAAACATTTGTAGAATCATAGGCCTTGTTAGTCTCATCTCCATGGGGACACATATCAACACATCATCTTTCATAATATAAATATACGGTCACTCCTCCATATCTGCGGGGTTTACAGGTGTTTATTGAACCAAGTATAAATCAAAAATATTGAGAGAAAGTATCCACAGAGTTTCAAAAAGCATAACTATGTTGAATGGACACAAATGAAGCTGTGTGTAGGCTGTATCAGGAATTATAAGTAATCTAGAGATGATTTCATGTATACAGGAGGATGTGCATAGGTTATTTGCAAACGCTGTGCCATTTCATATAAGAGGCTTGAGCATCTACAGATTTTGGTATCTGAGTGGAGATCTCAAAACCAATCACCCACGAATAGTGAAGGATGACCGTATATGACTTTTATTTCTCAAATTTAAATATAAATCATAAAAAATGTACAACTAGATAAAAACTAAGAAGTGTTTTTATAGTGTGAGTTAGATTTATTTTTTCCTAGGTGTAACCAATTGGTTTAATATTATTTATTGAGAAGACATTCTATGCCACCTTAAACCACACGGCAGCCTTTGTCAACTCTAAAGGGACTGTGTGTACATGGATGTATTTTAGACACTGTTTCTGCTAAGGGGCTCTCTGTGTCCACACTCTTGATGATGCTGCACTTTATGTAGCCTTATAGAACCCTTTAAATTTAGTAGCCAGAGCCCTCTAATTTGTTATTATAGGCTGTTTGCTTTTTTTTTCTTGAGGCGGAGTCTTGCTCTGTCGCCCAGGCTGGACTGCAGTGGCACAATCTCAGCTCACTGCAACCTCCGCCTCCCAGGTTCAAGCGATTCTCGTGCCTCAGCCTCTTGAGTAGCTGGCGTTACAGGTGCCTGCCACCAGGCACGGCTAATTTTTGGATTTTTAACAGAGACACGGTTTCACTATATTGGCCAGGCTGCTCTCAAACTCCTTATCTCAGTTGATCCGCCCACCTCGGCTTCCCAACGTGCTGGGGAAAACTTGATTTTCTATAGCATTATGTTACTGGATATTTCTGTAAAATTTAAAACGAGGGAGGGAGAGAGACAGACAGAGAGCAAACTCCAGAGTTGGGACTCTGGAATCTTGGGTCATGAGACAAATTTTAGATTAAACTACAAAACTCCAGAATTTACAGGTGTGGTTTTTGCTGATAAAGTACAATTCTAAGATTGTAAATAATTGCATAATCCTTCCCTGGGAATTTAAATCATTTTAGCTGGTTCTGCTGTAATACTAGAAATACAAGCATGAAAAATTCTAATGGTTTATTAGTCACAATGACTCCGAAAACATTAATAATACCTATTAGATACTTTGCATATTACACAGGAAGAAGAGTTTGAATCTCAGATAAAAACAAAAAAAATACATGAAAAGTCTTTCATGTTAGCACAGATTTTAGGCATCTCGTGTTCGGATAAAAATACATGAAAAGTCTTTCACGTTAGCACAGATTTTAGGCATCTTGTGTTCGGGAGGTTGGATCTGAGACGTGTTGTGAGTTGGTCATAGTGAAGGACGTGAGGTGCCAATTCTAGTGAGAACAATTTCCAGGAAGCCGTGTTCCGCTCTTGAGCAAGCATCCACTGGGCCTCATGCAAGGTAGAAAGAGCCTGCGTACGTCACCCTCCCATGATGTAGTCAACATGTAAGCTGCATGGGCAGGGCGCCAAATAACATCCTGTGCGCTGCTGAGCTGAGCTGGGGCGCGGCCGCCTGTCTGCACCGGCAGCACCATGTCGCTCATGGTCGTCAGCATGGCGTGTGTTGGTGAGTCCTGGAAAGGAATAGAGGGAGGGAGTGCCACATCCTCCTCTCTAAGGTGGCGCCTCCTTCTCCCCCAGGTGGTCAGGACAAGCCCTTCC
Organism: Homo sapiens; assembly: GCF_000001405.40. Taxonomy (NCBI): domain Eukaryota; kingdom Metazoa; phylum Chordata; class Mammalia; order Primates; family Hominidae; genus Homo; species Homo sapiens. The sequence continues at coordinate 692,143 of NW_003571054.1, forward strand.
TCTCTGCCTGGCCCAGCCCTGTGGTGTCTGAAGGAGAACATGTGGCTCTTCAGTGTCGCTCTCGTCTTGGGTTTAACGAATTCAGTCTGTCCAAAGAAGACGGGATGCCTGTCCCTGAGCTCTACAACAGAGTATTCCGAAACACCGTTTTCATAGGCCCTGTGACCCCAGCACATGCAGGGACCTACAGATGTCGGGGTTCACACCCACACTTCCTCACTGGGTGGTCAGCACCCAGCAACCCCCTGGTGATCATGGTCACAGGTCAGAGGGCTCCTGTCTGGGATTCTCCTTGTCCCACCTCCTGAGTCCCAGAGCTTCTGGTGGGAGTGTCCACCAGCGTCCCATCATCCAGACCCTAACTGTATTTGGGGTAAAAGGGGATTGAATACAGGGAAATGGGTGCTGTGGTGGAAAGAATAATTGTCCCCAATGATGACTGCATTCTAATCCCTGCAGTCTGTGACTATTTATGTTATAGGGGAAGGCACTGAAGGGGAAGATGGAGCTCAGGTTGTTGAGTTGACCTTGAGATGGGGAGACAGCCTGGACTGTCCTGCTGGGCTCAGTGTAATCACAAGGGTGCACATGAGAGGAGAAGGAAGAGGGGAGTGGCGATTAGAGCAGTGCAATGGAAGTCTCCATCAGCTTTGAAGGTGGAGGAAGGCCATGAGCCATGAATGCAGGTGGCCTATAGAGGCTGGAAAAGTCAAGGAACTGATTCTCCTGGGTCTCCAGAGGGAACGCAGCCCTGCAGATGCCTTGATTTTAGCCCTCAAAAAACAGGGTCCGATTTCTGTCTCCAGAAACGGAAGGGGTCAGTGTGCTCTCTCCTGCTGCCATGCTTCTGATAATTTTCCACAGCACCAACAGGAAACCAACACTGGAACCCAGGTCAAGGACAAGATAAGAAAGGACACAAGGATAGCCGGGCGTGGTGGCAGGTGCATGTAATCCTAGCAACTCAGGAGGCTGAGGGCAGGAGAATCACTTGAACCCAGGAGACAGAGGTTGCAGTGAGCCTAGACCACACCACTTCACTCCAGCCTGGGTGAAGGAGTGAGACTCTGACTCCAAAATTAATTAATTAATTAAAGAAACCAAACAAAGAGAAGGTTGGCTACACCGAGATCAGCAAGGGTGGGATGATGATGCCACCACCAGGCTCCATCCACATAGGGAGGGGTTGATACTCCTCAAACCAGCACCAGAAGCCAGCCTATGGAAGCTGGCACCATGGAGAAGGCACAGGCATGGCAAGAGTGGCTCCCAGTCCCCACCAGGAACAGGGTGTGTGGACACTGGTGCCTGCCTTACTGATCAGTTCATACCTTCTGCCAAGGATTCCAAATCGTCCAAAAGAGATTGAACCAGTCTGCTAAGAGCCTGGACGTGCAGCCTATCCTGGTTCCTCTTCCACCCCCACATAGAAGCAGGAAAGACATTAGTTCGAAATAGATACAACAGCCCAAGAGATGAGGCTGAGCCCAGCGGCAAGGGAATCAGGAGCTACTAGAGACAGAGGGACAGAGAAGAGGGAGGGAGACAGATGGAAGGACCTGTACCAGGAGTTATGGGCACAGAAAAGAACATGAAGACACAGAGAGGAAGGAGAGAGATAAGACACCAGCGAGGGGAAGCCTCACTCATTCTAGGTGCCATGGATGGGATGATAAAGAGAGATGCCTTCTAAAGTCACAACCTCTCTTCCTAGGAGTCCACAGAAAACCTTCCCTCCTGGCCCACCCAGGTCCCCTGGTGAAATCAGAAGAGACAGTCATCCTGCAATGTTGGTCAGATGTCATGTTTGAGCACTTCCTTCTGCACAGAGAGGGGACGTTTAATGACACTTTGCGCCTCACTGGAGAGCTCCATGATGGGGTCTCCAAGGCCAACTTCTCCATCGGTCGCATGACGCAAGACCTTGCAGGGACCTACAGATGCTACGGTTCTGTTCCTCATTCCCCCTATCAGTTGTCAGCTCCCAGTGACCCTCTGGACATCGTGATTACAGGTGAGAGTGTCTGGACATTATTCTCATTGTCACTGGGACACAGAGTGAATGATCCACGACTTGGAGGCCCAGGTGGTTATAAGGAAGATGAGCTTGGTATTCTTATGGAGAGAGACTAACTTGGTGAGGTCTGTACCAACAGAGACAGAGAAACAGGAGACACAAGTACAGACCAGGTGTCATAACAGAGGACAGACACAGGGGCCATACAGGGAGTTAGAAAAGACAGAAAGAGTTAAAGGAGACACAGACAGACATGTGCCAGAGAGAGGTGTCCTTCCATGCTGACTTTGCTCAGAGACCTGGCACAGGTTAGAAGTTTCATTTCTGTTTTACTTCCACAAAGTGTTCTCTACCAGAAGAACCCAAGGACACCCATATTTCTGGCCTGAGTTGGGCCCTGTGGCCTCAGGCCTTCTGGCACCTACAGATGCCGTGTTTATTCTGACACCTCTGCCTTCCATGCAATGGAGAGTAATCGTCCCAGGATATCATGGCCCCAGAACATCAACCCCTGTATACTGTGTGAACTTGCGGTCCCCAGACTGGATTCTGAGGCTCACATTCCAAATAACCCCACATATGAGAGGATCACTGAGAGACACAGAGAGAAATCAGGGACACCAAAAAGCAAAGACATAAACACACAGAGAATGAGCCAGAGGAAGGAGATTGAGAGACTCACAGACACATAAAGAGGGAGAAAAGAGGGCAGAGAAGTGGAGAGAACAATGGAAGGGAACAGAGAAAAGCACTAAAATTAGAGTCCTGAGGGAGAGACACAAGGACATAGAAAGATGGAGATGTGGGGATGAATTGCAGAGATTCCAAAGAGAACTAGAGAGACCGAGAGGCAGAGCAAGACAGATGATAGATGGATAGATATAGATAGATGATAAATAGGTAGATGATAGATAATAGGTTAAAGATACATAGATGATGATTGATTCATTCATTGATTAATCGATGATACATAGAGATGATGAAGATGAAGATAGATAGATAATACATAGAGATAGAGAGGCAGACAAAGAGAAATCATAGAGAGAGAGAGACGATACATAGATATAGATAATAGATGATTTTTGGATAGACAATTGATAGATAAATAGATTATATATAGATATAGATGACAGGTAGAGAATTTGTAGATAGGCACCAAATAGATAAATAGATATATCGATAGATAATAGATAGAAATATGCAGAAAGTTATGAACAGGACACAAAGTGAGAAACTCAGAATTTAAAAAAAGTAACATCAAGTCAACTAGTCCAAGGAGAGTCAGAGAGAATAAAACAATCCAAAAAGGGAAAACATATCTAGAGGTGAGAAAGTGAGGTCAGAGACCTAGAGAGACAGAGAAGGTGGAAAGAGGAAATAGACATAAAGAGAGATGGTGTGGAGGGTGAGACAGAGAGAGAGAGCATTAGGCCATAGAGCAGGGGAGTGAGTTCTCAGCTCAGGTGGGAGGGGAGTTGTGACAAGGAAGAACCTCCCTGAGGAAACTGCCTCTTCTCCTTCCAGGTCTATGTGGGAAACCTTCTCTCTCAGCCCAGCCGTGCCCCATGGTTAAGGCAGGAGAGAGCGTGACCTTGTCCTGCAGCTCCCGGAGCTCCTATGACATCTACCATCTATCAAGGGACGGGGAGGCTCATGAACTTAGGCTCCCTGCAGTGCCCAAGGTCAATGGAACCTTCCAGGCCAACTTTCCTCTGGGCCCTGCCACCCACGGAGGGACCTACAGATGCTTCGGCTCTTTCCGTGACTCTCCCTACGAGTGGTCAGACCTTAGTGACCCACTGCTTGTTTCTGTCACAGGTGAGGAAACCAGTCTGTTCCCCAAATAGTGGGACTCAGATGGACTACAATGGCCACATTCAGGGGAGCCTCAGATGGAGGGGGTGGCCATGGGGGTGTCAGCCAGAGATGCTGGACAGAAGAGACACAAAGCAAACATACAGAAAGAGGCATAGACAGACAGACAGAGCGAGGCAGACAGATCACATTAGGGTTTGGGGTGGTAACTGCAACCCTACCTGAAGCTTGCAGATAGAGCACAGGCCACATAAACCACTTCCCAGTCTTTGTACAGAAGCCCACCTGGGACACATGTAAACAGCATCAATGCTGACTCAGGAGCATGAAAGGCCGGGCTCAGATTGGAAAGACTAGAGGTAGCATTGGCCGCCCGCCATTGCCCATTTCCAGAAGCCCCCACCTCTCACCAAAGAGTGATTTCCACATGGGGGGCACAGATGCAACCATCGTTGGGGGAGCCCCAATGTCTCTTGATGGGAGGCATTTTCCACCCTAGATGTTTTTTGCTCTCTCCACACCTTGGAGACTCAGTGGGGGAGTCTTCTCTGGGGACTCGGGGAGGGCCTCCCTGGGACTCGCAGGATTTCCAAGCTAGATGACAACATGACAGGTGGAAACAGGCCCATTCCTTCGCCAGGGGCCCCAAGCTCCATCCCAGGAGATGAGAAGAGGCTCTTCTCATTGGTCAGTGGATCCCTGAGGGGACAGAGGCTCAGCACTGAAGGCTGAGAAGGATCTGCCACTTCGCTCAGTGGCCTCAAGCCAGACATCTTCCCTACAGACTTGCAGTGATTCTCCATCAGCATTTAGGGCTGTGGCCACCAACCTGGGTGTTGGTCTGTAGGAACTTTTCATTTCTGACCTTCCATAACTGAGTTCTCTTCCTAAATGTGGAATGCCTTGTACTCCATGTTACTCTCTCCCCAGAAAGAATGTGTGGCTTGTCTGCTCTCCAGCCCTGTCATGGAGATTGATAATCCTTAGGGAGCAAGAGGAGAGGGAAAGAACAAAGTATGAGACCACCTAGGTGCTACTGGTTGAGGTTCCATTTGCCAGTGAAGGGACTTCACTCAGCCGAGGGGGCAACTCAGGGAAGTCAGCCGAGGGAGGGCATTAGAGTAGAGAGAACTGAGCTCACCCAGTAAATGACCCCTTCACTAACTCATTCATCTAATATTTATTTCACACCTACCATCAGTTCTCTCTGTTTCACGGCCAGGAGTAGACAGCACGGCCAAGCTCCTGGGTTCATGATGCTCACATTGCTGTGGGGTGGGAGAGAGAGGCAGAACATGAATGAATGAATGAGAGAATGAATGAATGAGTGAATGATGGAATGAGTGAATGAATGAATGAATGAATGTATGAATTAGTGAGTGAATCCTTAGCACTTGGTGAAAGTGCCATGCACAGAATGAAATGAATGAACGTGGAACGTTGTCATTTGGAGTGTACAGGAGGGAACGTCTCACTGAGACCTCATCAGAGAGATCACATTTAAACTCCGATCTTAGAGACAAGAGGGAGTGAGCCCTGGGGAGTGTGTTGAAAGGAACTTTCATGGACTTAGGACATTGGGGATGACCCTAATGTGAGAATGAGCTTGGTGTGTTCCAAGAAGTCCATGGACCTGCCATATGGTGAGGGCTGGTCAGAATCCAGAGAGATTTCTAAATGCCCTTGTGCTTGTAAGGAAAGTGAGTCCTGTGGTTGGGAGTGGACTTATACCTTGGGTCAGGTCCAGCAATTATCTTTCTAAATCCTCTCTAATTGCCTGAACCACTTCTATCAACAACTGAGAAAAGAGGAGTGTTAAACACCCCACTGTGGCCGTGGATTTGCCTACCTGTCCATTTATTTCCGCGACTCTTCCTCCATGTATATTTGCAGGAATATTACTGGGAGTGGTTAAGTGTAAACTGATTATATATTCCTGGTAAATTTAAAATGCTATAAATTTACCTGCTTTTTTCCTACATTTTATGCTTAATGTTTTCCGCTGATTTTTCCCAAAGACTAATTTTGTCTAATTTTAATATAGTTATACCACATTTCTAACAGTGATTGCTTGGTATATTTCTACATTGTTTAATTTCAAACTCCATGAATTGTTAACATTGAGATGTGTCCTTTGTAAATTTCAAACAATTCGCCTTAGAAAGTAAGACTTTCTGACAATCTTTTGTTCATGTTTGAGCAGTTCTTCCAATCATATTTTTGTTATTATTACGTTGTGTTTTCCTGATTCCCTTTTTTTCCCACTGACTTCTGTGGTTTTCTATTTCAAACATTCTATTTTTGATCTATGTCGTTTAGGAATACATATATGGTGTACTCATCCTGAAGTTGTTACATATTTTTAAAATTGAAATTAATCATTTCAGAGATTAAACTGCAAATATAAAAACATATTTCCACTCTTCCTGTGTAAGAACAGGATTTTAGAGCATATTTAGTACATATGTTTGTATTTACTTATATGATGTTTTGTTTTGTGGTATACATAATTCTATCTTTTTCAGAAATTACACAGGGGCGTGTTTTCATACACTATCGTATGGTCCATATTCATTTTTGGCATAGCCATATTTTTAGTTCTTCCTCTGCTCTTAGTTATTGTCAGAATCTTCGACACCCCATCTGGTTTCACTTTCTTTATCTTTGAGGCACGGTCATCAGAATTTCCTTTAGGGTCAGTGAGAAAAGCTTTCTTTGCCCTTTTGTCTTTCAGTTCTGTTTCTTTCCTGCGTTGATCTTGGACAGTAACTGTACTATGTAAGGAATTGTCGGTGGCTGGCGACGGTATCTTAGCTGGGTAAAGATGCTATTCTACTGGCTTATGTTTTCCTTTTTTCTGTGGGGAAGACAATGCTTGGCTCCCTATAAATCCTTACCAGCTGATCCTTTTCCTCTGGCTAATTTTAAGGGTTGGTTGTGCTTTTATGCTGCTTTTCTGTAATGTTGAACGTGAGGTGTGTTTACTTCATTCTGCCTGGCATTCACTGGATTTCTTGAACCTGTGGATTGATGGATGTGTCTACTTCCTCCAAATAATCAACAATTGCCTCTTTAAAGATTGCTTCTGACCTGTTTTCTCGTTCTTTCTTTTTGGAACTCAAGTTAGGAGCATTCTAAAACTGTTGTCAATTTTTACCCTGTCACAAAACTGCTCTTTCTTGTTTCAGTTATTTGCTTTTTCTGTGCATTAATATTGATGGTTTCCTCTGTCATAGAGGATAAATACTCTCTTCACTGTTGTGTACACAACATTTTAACTAGTTATTCTGGTTTAAATTTAATATTGACTTTATCTACATATCACAATTGATTACTGTGTACAGACTTTCTTTTCTATTAGTATAAATTTATGAGGTACACTTGTAATTTTGTGACATGAGTATGTTGCAGAGTAGTGAAGTCAGGACTTTTACTATATCCATCACCCAAATACCGTACATTGTACTCATTAAGCAAATTCTCATCACTCACCCACGTCCCGCCACCCTCCAGCCTTCTAGCCTCCGCTGTCCGTCATTCCACACTCTACGTCCATATGTACACATTACTCCCCTCCCATGTAGAGTGAGAAGATGTGGTATTTGTCTTTCTGAGTGGTTTTATGTAAAATAATGGCGTCCAGCTCCATCTATGTTGCTGCAAAAGACATGGTTTTATTTTTATGACCAAATAGTATTTCGTTGTGTATACACGCATCCTTTTTTTAATCCAATCATTCATTCACAGACACTTAGATTGATTTCATATCTTTGCTATTGCAAACAGTGCTGCAATAAACATACAGGTGCAGGTATTTTTTGAGTAGATACCCAGCAGCGGGACCCCTAGATCGAATGGTGCTTCTATTTTTGGTTCTCTGCCAAATTTCCATACTGTCTTCCATAGAGGCTATACTAATTTACATACCGGCCAACAGTGTATAAGAGTTTCCTTTTCTCTGCATCCTTGCCAACACCTGTTATATGTTTCACTTTTTCTTTTTTTCTTTTTGAGATGGAGTCTTCCACTGTCACCCAGGCTGGAGTGCAGTGCCGCCATCTCCACGCGCTGCAACCTCCACCAACCAGGTTCAAATGATTCTCCTGCCTCAGCCTCCTGAGTAGCTGGGATTACAGAACCACACCACCATGCCCAGCTAATCTTTTGTATATTTAGTAGAGATGGGGTTTCACTATGTTGGTCAGGCTGGTCTCAAACTCCTGACCTCATGATCCACCCGCCTCAGCTTCCCAAAGTGCTGGGATTACAAGCGTGAGCCACCACTCCCCACCAGCATTTTTAGTAATAGCCATTCTGACTACTGTAAGATGATATCTCATTGTGGTTTCAATTTGCATTTCTCTGATGATTAGTGATGTTCATACGCTGTTTGGCCATTCGTATGTCTTCTTTTGAAAAATGTCTATGTATATCCCTTTGCCCACTTTTTAATGCTATTATTTGAGGGGTTATGTTTAGTTGTTTGAGTTGCCTAGAAATTCTGGATGTTAGTCCTCTGTTGGGTGCATAGTTTGCAAACATTTCCATTCATTCTGTGGGTTGTCTGTTCACCCTGCTACTATTTCCTTTGCTTGGCAGAAGCTCTTTCGTTTATTAAGTCCCATTGGTCTAGTTTTATTTTTATTGCCTGTGCTTTTGAGGTCTTAGTGATGAATTC